>NC_000002.12:19782482-19933997 GCF_000001405.40 Homo sapiens
CAATAAGGTCCAGGCTGAGGGGGTCTCAGATGGAGATGAGGAACTTCTTGGGAACTGTTAGCAAAGAGACTGATGGCATTTTTGCCCCTGCCCTAGAGATCTGTGGAACTTTGAACTTGAGAGAGATAATTTAGGGTACCTGGCAGAAGAAATTTCTAAGCAGTAAAGCATTCAAGAGATGACTTGGGTGCTGTTAAGAGCATTCAATTTTAAAAGGGAAACAGAGCATAAAAGTTTGGAAAATTTGCATCCTGACAATGCGATAGAAAAGAAAAATCCATTTTCTGAGGAGAGATTCAAGCCTGCTGCAGAAATTTGCTTAACGAGGAGCCCAATATTAATCCCCAAAACAATGGGGAAACTGTCTCCAGGGCATGTCAGAGGTCTTCAAGGCAGCCCCTCCCATCACAGGCACAGAGGCCTAGAAGAAAATAGTTTCCTGGGCCGGGCCCAGGGTCCCTTTGCTGTGTGCAGCTTAAGGACTTGGTTCCCTGTGTCACAGCTGCTCCAGCCATGGCTGAAAGGGGCCAACATAGAGCTCGGGCCATGACTTCAGAGGGTACAAGCCCCAAGCCTTGGCAGCTTCCAAGTGATGTCGAGCCTGCCAGTGCACAGAAGTAAAGAATTGGTGTTAGGGAACCTCTGCCAAGATTTCACAGGATGTATGAAAATACCTGGATGTCCAGGAAGAAGTTTGCTGCAGGGGTAGGGCTCTCATGGAGAACCTCTGCCAGGGCAGTGCAGGAGGGAAATGTGGGGTTGGAGCCCCCACACAGAGTCCTTACTGAGGCACCACCTAGTGGAGCTGTGAGAAGAGGACTACCATCCTCCAGACTCCAGAATGGTAGATCCACCTATAGCTTGCACCACGTGCCCAAAAAAGCCACAGACACTCAACACCAGCTCATAAAAGAAGCTGGGAGGGAGGCTGTACCACAGCGGCCGAGCTGCCCAAGACCATGGGAAACCACCTTTTGCATCAGCGTGACCTGGATGTGAGACATGGAGTCAGAGGAGATCATTTTGGAGTTTTAAGATATGACTGCCCCGCCCATCCCATTTGCCTCTGTTCTCTTTTTCCATTCTGCAGATGTTTGGAGTCAGATCACTGTCTTTGGAAGGCAGTGTTTGGAGGAAGAGCACTTGCCAAAAGACCTGGCTCTACTGCTGCAACGGGGAAGTCAGGCGCCTGCAAAGGGCTTGGTCAGGACAACAGCAGCTCACCTCCCTGGCATGGACTCCTAACAGGCCCCTCAGTATCAGTCAGATACAGCCCCAGCCATTTGCCTTCCCTGCCCCCACTGCCCCCACACCTTCCCTTGTCCCCATCACTACCCTGCCTGCTGAGAATGCTCACTCAAAATCCACCCCCACTGCAGGAAGCCTTCCCTGACCACTACCCTTCAAACACACACACACACACACACACACCATACACACATTATAAACACATACCACACACACACAACCCACACTACACATACCACACACACATATGGTATGTGGGGCCAGGGGCAAAATGATATGGTTCGGCTCTGTGTCCCCACCCAAATCTCATCTTGAATTGTACTCCCATAATTCCAACGTGTTGTGGGAGGGACCCAGTGGGAGATAATTTGAGTCATGGGGGCAGTACAAACACATACCACACACACACCCCACACTACAAACACATACCACACATACACCCCACACTACAAATACACAACACACACACATCCCACACTACAAATACATACCACACACACACCCCATACACACACTACAAACACATACCACACACATACAACCCACACTACAAACACATACCACACACATACCCCATACACACAACACACACACTATACACATATACACACCACAGTCACATACCACACACGTTACATATACATACTACACACACTGTAAACACCATACACACATAACATGCCACACACATGCTACCCTACACACGCACACACATCCCTCCCACCAACCAGGCAACAGTGGCTTTCTTTTTCACAAAATCTGACTGCGTTGACTGCAGCTCTTCATGCAAAGCAACCAGAATAGTACCTGGCAAGTGTGGCCTTCTCCTTCCCCACCTGGGCCCTGAACATACCTGGTCTGTAGCCAGGGTTGCCCTACCTCTCCACAGAGCAAGAACCTGAAGGGTTTAGGTGGAGAGTGAGTCGACAGCCACATTCAGGTAACTGGGAAGATACCCAGGAGCGGGCTGGCCACACTCGGGGATGGTTTGAGGGTGATATGCAGATGACGCCACTCACCCCTGCAATGCTGCTTCACTCTTCAGAACCAGCACAGCCCAAACTGCTCAACAGTGTTTCATCCAAGCAAATGAGAGGCAGATTCCTTAATAAAGAAACAAAACAAAAGAGACCCACGCACTGAGAGTAGGAGGCTGGTTCTGACCTGACTCTGCCATGAACTCCCCGAATGACCTTGGACCAATCACTTGAGCTGCCCAGACCTCAGTTTACACTATATGTAAAAGAGGAATCGTTTTTCCCGGGGCCCTCTCACAGGATGGCTGTGATTACCCATGGAACAAGCAACAACTAAGGGCTTGCAAAGTTAAAGTGCCAGACAAAAAAGTCTCCCTGGTAGAGGTTGCAACTTCCTCAACCCCTGAGAGGTGACAAGGTAGATATCAGCAATTGGACTTACCTCCCAATCTAAGTCCAGGCATATGGCTTCCCCAATGCCATAAAGGGAAAGACAGGAAATTACTTTTTCCCTGAGGGTGCTGAACTAGGCAGATAGCCAGCCTATTGTTATTCAATGTCAGAGTCAAAAATCCTGAGAGACCTCGATACCCCTCACAACAGTGTCAAAACTGGAACAATCTTAACACACACACACACACACACACACACACACACACACAAAACTTTCACTTTCATCATCCCCGGGCATCCCACTCAGGGCATAAAGCACGCCTGGGAACAAGAATCACAGGTTTCCTACCTCGCTGGAGACTTCACAATGACCCAGGGCCCCTAAGAGTTCCAAATATAGTCCAGGCTCCCAGAGCCAAGGCAGTGACTGGCCAGAGCCTCCCCATTTAGGGGTACTGACCTGAGTGCCATCTACCCGTCAAAGTGCTTGAGCCACAACAACAACCCCTGAACGTGAGGCTGATTAAAGAGGGTTACGTGAACTGCCGAATTAAGCCGTCCAAAATTGGATAAAGTGATTGTGAAATCTGTTTTGAGTCAACCTATACATGTCTCATTGCAGGAAAATGTCTCGGTAAGAGTTCATGGAGAAAAAGTCTGGCAACTCATTGTTGGCTGACCTTCCTGGGCTCCTAATATTCAGTTCCCCAAAAGGCATCTTAGCCATGTAATTTCCAATATGGGAACAATTTGAGTTGCAATTAGGCAAATCTCAGAAGGTTCTGCCACTGATTTGTTCATTCTCTCAATATTATTCTATAGGACACACTAAAATACTGCACCAGGTTCACGCAGAGGACAATTAGGACTGCTGCATGTCAGGTTACAGAGGCTGGGTAAACACATCCATGTCGCCATTCAGGAATGGTGTCGTTAGGCCTGCAGAGCTGGGCACAGGGCCCTCTGCCCCAAAGGACACCTACTAATGGCTCTGTGGGGGACAGAGGCTGTTAGCAACCCAGAGCTTTGGGCTGTGGTGATGGCAGGTCCAGAGCAAGTGGAGAGGGGGTCAGGGTAGCTAGCAGCCGGAATGCAACCCTGGAGATTGTAGATGAAGGAAAGCTAACAGACAACCCCTGGCAGTAACATTAGATTTTGTTAAAAGCTACATCTTTCACTGAGCACCTCCTCTGTGTCAGGCTCAAGCCAGGGCCCAGGGACACTGAGATGAAAAAGACATAGCTCTTGACCTCAAGAAGCCCAGTGGGAGGGCATATCAGCAAGCCCAATTATGATAAAAGATAAATTACAATCAAGATACTATTTTCAAAAGTGCCAAGAAAGCACAGAAAAGGAAGAGTTTGATTCGCCTGCAGTGTAAGAATAAGCTTCCCATCGAAGGGCATATTTGAGCAAGCCTTGATGCATGGCTAAGAGTAGGGCAGGTAGAGAGGAGAGAAATGGCCATTTTAGAGGAGAATGCTTGGTTGGGATGAGTTGGCACTTTCTGAGCCATGAGTGCCTCCCAAGGACTGAGTCATGTTCCTCTTTTTCAGTAAGCAAAAACTGCTAGTCTTCAGTTTATCTCAGGCCTGCCTCCAGGGAGAAGAAACTGTCATTCCAGTCCCCTTTGAGGCATATTTGGGTTTCCCCGGACTCCTGTTATGATTTGCTCTTTGTCCCCAGGTGGCTAGTTTACTCCCAGCGAAGAGGAATGTCTGGATTCTCCTCTAAGCCCTTTGCACAAAGTGCAGAAGCTGTCTCATCCCTTCCTGACCAAGCACATGACTCCGACCAGATTCTGCTAGAATTCAAGCATAGGTGAGGGCAAAGCCAGCCTTGACTGGGGACCTGCAGAGCAAGGCCTGAGTCAGGTTTATCTTTGTTTTTCCTTTGCCCCCACACCTACTCAGGCCCAGCTCTCAGGATCAAGTGTGTGGGTGAGTGAAGAAGCCCAAGTCAATAGCCGGGCAGTGCCTGGATGGTTAAGGGAGCACTCAAATCTCAACCTTGGGATCTGGTTAAGGGGCCGAATCACAAGCAGGAGAGAGGGGAAAAATGGGGCAATTAGTCTCAGGAACGAAAGGCAGAGGTAAGTTGTGTCAGGGCCACGTGTGGAGTGAGATTCAGGGACCATATAGGTCTGGAAGCCAGGAAGGAGAGTGGGTCGCCACCGGGCAAACCCAGCTTCCCAGAGCAAGAGAACCTTAGGAAGCATGCAGGGCGACTGCGGAGGCAGAATCAACAACTCAGCATGGCTCCGCGTGGTGGGCATCCTGCTAAAAACCACCTTCCGATCACAGTGGGAGTCGATTTGCACTTTGTAAACAGAGTTCCCTTCCCTGACACAGGAGTACCCCTTCCTCCATGAATTTCCTTTGGCATCTTCCTGCAGGTGACATGGATAGGCAGCTGCCACTTTCCACCCACGAAGAAACCCTGAGGATGAAAACTACCCAGGAACACTGCATGACAACTGCAGCAGCCCCGCACTCTATCCCTGGGCCTCTTGCTCAACTGAGAAAAATAAGCCCTATTTGTTTAAACCAACTATTCCACTTTTTCTTTTCAAGCAGCCAAATTCACTCCCTGATACACCTGACACTGGGCAGGTACTTGGTAAATGCGCATGGATGCTCCTGAGTCATCAGATAGCAGGAAAGATGCAGATGATCCCTGTGGATGAAATGCCTTGCCTTGGCTTCCAGCTGCGTGATGCTGTTCAAACTTCAAATCAGCCCCACAGACACCCCTTCTCCTCTCTTTCTCCTTCACACACACATCTCCTTTGAGTGCAGAGAGGCTACCGTTCCTGCAACAGAATCTGCCTTCCAATCGCAAGGTCACTCATCAAGGTGCTGCTTAAGCTGGGATTATTTCTTAATGATGTTCTAGGAGGGACAAAGCAGGAGCTCTCACCTATAAGTCCCGGAGCCAGGCCCTTCATGCGTCCCCGTCCCAGTCTCCTCATCTGGTAAATAGGGGTTAAAATTATTCCACAAGTCATAGATGGGGTAAAAAATGCTCCTTTTGGAAGTAAGAGTTTATTTCTGTCATGGTTAGTATTTTCTCATTTGTTTCTGGCTGAATGAAAGGTCTGCTGCTTCTTAATGATACTCCTGGTGCTGGGCATGGTGGCTTATGCCTGTAATCTCAGTACTTTGGGAGGCCGAGGTAGGAGGATCACTTGAGCCCAGGAATTTGAGACCAGCCTGGGCAACATAGCAAGACCCCCCCTCTACAAAAATAAAAATAAAAAAATTAGCTGATGTGGGGGTGCACACCTGTATTCCTAGCTACTCTGGAGGCTGAGGCAGGAGGATCACTTGAGCCCAGGAGTTTGAGATCACAGTGAGCTATGATCCTGCTGCTACACTCCAGCCTAGGTGACAGAGTAAGACCCTGTCTCTAAAAATAAATTTAAAAGAAAATTAAGGATACTCCCAGATCATAAAATTATTCTGCCAAGATGCTTGTGGCTTCGCTTAGGGATACAGCTACCCCAAAGCAGACAGTCGCTTGTCCAGTATCTCCTGAGCCACTACCAACACATAAGCCCAACCCCATCCGGACAGTAACCAGACCTGTGCCTTCCTAACCCAAATACAGGCTCTAAGGGTTGGCTGGGGGTGAGGATAGGAGCCTGAGCCTTCTTGCAGGTCTCACTGCCCAGTGCCCCAGCCCTCCAAGGTCTCCCCTTGACAGGCCTAAAAATGAAAACGCCTAATCCTACACAGGGTACAAGACACATCACAAGCCACGCAGATGTCACTGGCCATTTTAAAAAGCCCATGCTGGACATGGCTGTACCCAGAGAGCCTAAGGACTCCAAGAAATACCACTGGGGACTGATCACATTTGATTCTCTCAGTGACCCACTGACCCTAAGTACAGTGTCCAGTGTCTATACTGGTGCCTAGAGTTGGGCTGTCCTGCCTCCAAGGAGGCCTGCTCAGCGGGTGGGTCAGTATGTAAATAACTGGGCACAGAAAGAGCCTGAAAGTCAGGCCCACCCATGCTGGGGGAAAGGCCCAGAGCAGGGAGAAACACTTTTTCCAGGAAATCAGGAAAGCCATCATGAAGATTTCCCCAGCACGGGTCATTCTGAAGGAGGCAACAGCATGAGCAAGGGTGGGAAGCAGGAAAACAAGCAGCATCAACAAGGAATGGAGGGCTCAGTCCCAGAACACCTGGTGCTGATGGGGAGCAAGGAGAGTGGGGTAGGAAGGCAGGCTGGGGGCCAGGGAGGGCCAGAAGTTGGGCTTTGTCAGGAGGATGTCAGATGACATTGATGCATGGGGGGTATGACAAAGGTGGTCCTTGAGAAGATGGATCTGGTAGAGGATAGAGAGGGAGGGTGAAAGCAGGGAGCAGGGAGAGCTTTGGGGTGGCCCTGGTGGGCTCTGAGCTAGGATGCTGACAGCAGAAACAGATGGGAGAGAGGTCTTACGGTGGGAGAATTGGTCAGCCAGAGCTGCACTCTGAAAACAGGGAGTGGCAAAGAGAATACCCAGCATTTGGTTTGGGTGCCTAAGAGCATAGTGGTTCAATGAAAAACCTCAGGAACTAAAGAAAATAGCAAGTTAGAGAGAAGATGGTGAGCGGTGCAGAGGGAGCATCCCCTCCTACCGCACCACACTTTCCCGAGTGTACAGACCATACTCTCCTCCCTGTTGGAGCTATTTGAGACCACATCCGTCCCCACTCCAGGTGTCATGCAGAGCTTCCCCCATCCCTCAACTCTGGTCCAATGCCTGTTACAGCCTTTGACAGGCCGTTGATTCAGGGATGTTTGGTCATTCATGGGTTGAGATCCATGAAGTCACTTTAAAGGACAACACAAATGTGTCCCTGCCTCTGGTGACCGGAGCCCAGCACTGTCTCGACGGGAGATAATGAGACCGTCCCTTGATAGCAGGTGTCACTTAGCTCCATGGAATCAACCTCTTCTTGCTTCAATGTCACTGCCAGGTGGAGGAGAGCCATATCTGAGCATCTGTTTGTTTACAGGCATTGGCCATGGGGATTCCCTTTTGGCCAAGAACCAGAGTCCCATACCATGATGATTTCCAGCTTCTTTTCCATTGATTAACAAGCCGCAGGGGGGGTGTCACAATAAAAACCAATGCTACCACAGACCCATTAATTGTAGCTCCTTCTAAGCCCAATCAGCTGCAGGTAGGGTGACCAACCATCCCAATTTGCCTGGGAGTCTCCAGTTTTAGCACCAAAAGTCACACACCGCAGGAAAGTCCTCAATCCCAAGCGAATGTGAACAGCTGGTCACCCTAGCTGCAGAAGAGCTCTCTGATGTCCAGACAGGAGCAACCCTGAGGAGTTTCTTGGTTTGTGTTCCCAGCTGCTGTGGGAACACAGGCAGACAGCCAGCAGAGGCACTGCCCCGGGGCCGCCGAGTCTCCCCACCACAGACTCAGGCCCTCCGTAGCCTCTTCAGAGGCTACAATGCCCTGTCCTTTGCCTCCACCCCCTGTGAGATTAAGCCCATCCTCAGAGGCCCGCCAGAAGGCTGGGCACACAACATGTGCTCTGTAAGGAATGGTCAATTGTCTTAGGAAGTCTGTCCCTCTGCCTCTCCGATCTTCGCTTTTCTCCTCTCAGGGAAAGGCTGAATGGATTCATGTGGGCACTTGATTCTACCGGAATGCCACAACCAAGAATTAATTCCCAGGACAAATTCAGGTTCCTATTGCTGATTTATTGACACTCTATCCATCCAAATCCAGTTTGGTAAACCATTTAATCATGAGGTTTGTATATGAGAGTTTCCTAATGAGACATTTTACACCTTTTTTTGTTTGTTTTTTTTTTTTTGAGATGGAGTCTCGCTCTGTCACCCAGGTTAGAGTGCAGTGGGGCATGATCTTATCTCACTGCAACCTCCACCTCCTGGGTTCAAGTGATTCTCCTGCCTCAGCTTACCATAACTGGGATTACAGGCACCCACCACCAAGCCCAGCTAATTTTTTGTATTTTTAGTAGAGACAGGGTTTCACCGTGTTAGCCAGGATGGTCTCAATCTCCTGACCTCGTGATCAGATCTTCTGACCTCATGATCTGCCCACCGCAGCCTCCCAAAGTGCTGGCATTACAGGCGTGAGCCACTGCACCCAGACTTTACATCTGTTTTCTAAGAAAAGAAGCCATATGTTTCCAAGAGCAAACTGACTTGGTACCCTCAATAATGGAGTCCTGCTAAGGGGACTTCTAGGGAAAGGAGAGTCCTCTTTATCCTGTAAGGAGTGGAAAAGTGAGAGGCACGCAAAAGGCTAGATGCTGCACCACGGGGACATGCAGACTCACCTGCTTTGTGTTTTTAATAAATGTTTTTATTTTGAGATAACTTTAAACTTACAGAAAAAGCGCAAAGGTAGTACATGGAGTTTGCCAATGTTCCCTGTTGTTAATATTCTTACATTTCCACAATATATTCATCAAAACTAAGAAACCAGCATTTCCACAATATATTCATCAAAACTAAGAAACCAGCATTGATTGGCTACAATTAGCTTTTTTTTCCTTCAGATTTCACCAGTTTTTCCAACGTCCCTTTTCTGTTCCAGGATCCAATTCAGGTTTCACCTTGCAAAAAAGCCTTGTGTCTTCTTAAGTTCCTCTGGTCTGTAACAGTTTCCCAGACTTTCCTTGCTCTTTATGTCCTTGAGAGTTTTGGGACACCCTGGTCAGATATTTTGTAGCACACCCCTCAGTTTGGGCTTGTCTGATGTTTATCTCATGATTAGACTGATGCTATGGGTTTTGGAGAAAAAATATAATGGAAGTGAAGTGCTTTCCTCTCCACAGCCAATGAGGCTACACGCTGTCAACACGACTTACCTCTCACGATGTGAACTTTGTCCCCTAGCCAAGGTAGTGTCTGCCAGTTTCTCCACCATGGAACAGAGCAGGATTTTTCAAATGTCTGCCTTTCCAAACCTTATTGGGGAAAGCAGCAACAATAGCTTCTATGTTCATCCAACTCCCTGGCCGTGACTACTTGTCCAGGGGTGACAAGCATTTGTACAAGTTCCCCCATGACCAGGCTAGAAATCTGATCAACCTCACACAGAACCTAAAGTGGTCCCACTCCATCAGGAATTGTATAACAACAGAAGGTAGCCCTGGTCCAAGAGAAAACTGCAGTCCTTAGACTGATGTCCTCAAAGAAAGCCTATACAGTTGACCCGTGAACAACATGGGTTTGAACTGTGTGGTTCCACTTACATGTGGAATTTTCTTCAACCAAACACAGATTGAAAATAAGAGTATTCACAGGATATGAAACCTGCATATACAAAGGGCCAATTTTTTTGTATATGGAGGTTCCATAGGGCCAACGGAGAGACTTGAGTATATGTGGATTTGGGTATACTCCAGGGTCCTGGAATCAGTCCTTGAGTATACCAAGGGACAACTGTAGTTGCAAGAAAAAAAAATATGTATATTTACATTTGTATTAGTCCATTTTGACACTGCTATAAAGAACTTCCCTAAGACTAGGTAATTTATAAAGGAAAGAGGTTTTATTGACTCACAGTTCCACATGGCTGGGGAGGCCTCAGGAAACTTACGATCATGGCAAAAAGGGAAGCAGTCACCTTCTTCACAAGGTGGCAGGAGAGGGAAGAACAAAGGAGGGACTTCCAAACGCTTATAAAACCATCAGATCTTGTGAGAACTCACTCACTATCACAAGAACAGCACGGAGTAACCACCCCCATGACACATAACCAATCCCTTGACACATGGGGATTACGGGTCCCTTCTTTGACACGTGGAAATTACAATTTGAGATAAGATTTAGGTGGGGACACAGAGCCAAACCATATCAACAATCATGACTATTACGTTGCTCTGAGAACATGAATCTTCTCTAGCCTTAGTAAATGTCGGTTGAATTGAACTGGGTAGATCCAGTTCCTTCTACTCTCTTGCTGTGCCTCTCTCCTCTTTATTTCCCTCTCTTTTGCTTTTTGTTCCCTGTCTTGGTCCTTTAAGTGGTTATTACAGAATACAGTGTAATTTTTAATTATTATGCTTCTTAAAAAAGAGTTATGTCTCTGCTCTCCTTTATTTATGAAACAGAAAGTTGGGAGAGTTTCACTTCCATCTCCAAAAGAAATGGCTAGGATTGCTCTACGCATATGTGATTACTGGTGTTTGTTTTCTGGAACCGGCAGTGGGAACACACTTTCTAATATGTGATCTGGTGAGTGACAGAGTATTTGACACCAGGGTTGTTGGGTCACCACATCCAAACCTTACTCCAGTAGGGAACGGGACATTAGAAATAACTTCCTGCTGCTTCTGAGTTTATCTTGGGAGGAAATTTCAAGTGTTGTCGCTTAAAATTGGAGATGACCTCAGTTCTCATCTAGTCCAACTACCTTGCTCTACAGATGGGGAAATCTAAAACCTGTTGATAAGAGGAGGCTCGTACAAGGTCACTTTGCAAGTGAGTGGCTGTGGAACAAGAGCCCAGCAGCTTGGATTCCCACTGTAGTGATCTTTCTACTATATCAGGGTTATTTCACGAAGAAAACAACTACCTTTCCCCACACAGCTGTTTATAAGTAAGTTAGGGCATAAAAAAATCCCACACAGGCCCTTTTCCTATACAAAGTGTGCTATGAACGCTTTCTAATTTAATCAAAATGCACCTCAGAGTTTAACCAAACTAAACAGAACCCAGGTTGGAATCAGCACCACTTTGACCATCATACCCAGACCCTGGCTCCACCCACTCCTCACATAGCCCAAGCCCAGGTTAAGGCACTCAGACATGAGCCTGGACTCCATAAGATAAACCTTACACTTCGGGGTTATTGCTCAGTAATGTGACTGTTCTTGATGTGGGAATCCAAATGACTTGGCTGCAGAGATTTTATAGGCCTGGGAATGAAGGGGCTGCCAGCCGCCGACTTAGCTCCACATCAAGCAGCCCACCAAGGTGTTGGAACTAGGAGCAGGGTCAGCAGCAAAGGTGGCCTCTCAGGGATTACACAGGTTCTGGAAGTCCTTCAGGAAACTGAAGCTAAGGGGTTCTCCTGCCAGTCTCCAGATATCCAGCACATCTGTCTGTCCTATCAGCTTTTCTGCTATTTCCTGTACTCACCCAAATATGATGGAAGAGGAGGAATCTAGAAAAGACCCAGAGAAAAGTAATAAAGCCTGAGAATGGCTCTGGCCAGCTGTGTGGACGGTTACACTCCAGCATGCGGCAAGCCTGGAGGAGAACATGCAGGACAAGGGCTGAGGCTCTGCTCCAGACACCCTATGCTGGGAGGTGTCTGTGGCCACCACTGAGTTATATGCTGTCACTACACCGCATAAGAAACAATGAAGATGCCAATGTCATTGTCAATAACTCTGAATACATTCCACCCACATCACCAGTTGGGTTTGGCTGACTTATCCTCTTAAGAGATTGCCCAGAGTCACTCACTGAAGATGCCATTCAGGTATTGCTATGGTAGAAACTCCAACGCAGGTGGACCTAGCTGATCATGTGAGCCCAACCTCAGTGTCCAGGCAAGGATTCCTTGATGTTGAGTCTGGCAGGCCCCCTGTGTAATTTGTACTCTAGGTCCCAACAGATAGTGAAGTCACCTTAGATCGCAACAGCATCTAAGGGATATCAAACAAATTGTTATTTTAAAACCTAGGCGGCCAGGTGCAATGGCTCATGCCTGTAATCCCAGCACTTTGGGAGGTGGAAGTGGGCGGATCATGAGGTCAGGAGTTAGAGACCAGCCTGGCCAACATGGTGAAACCCCATCTCTACTAAAAATACAAAAATTAGCCAGGCATGGTGGTGGGCGCCTGTAATCCCAGCTACTCGGGAGGCAGAGGCAGGAGAATCGCTTGAACCCTTGAGGCGGAGGTTGCAGTGAGCCGACACTGCGCCATTATACTGCACCCTGGGTGACGGAGCGAGACTCCATCCCAAAAAAAAAAAAAAAACCTAGGCTCTCAAATAAAAGCCCAAAGACTCTCCATTGCCATTACAAATTTCATATACACTCATTAGTAAAACTCTCTACAGTCTTAGCTCAACCCACTTTTTCATACGCTGGAGACCCGCTTGCTCCCCAGCATATACACTGTACTACAGCCCCATCAGACTTTCTTCCTAGTCCTTTTACCAGGAATTCTCTTCCTCCATCAAAGCCATCTCCCTTTGCCTTTTGCTGAGCTCTTATTCATCCTCCAAACCCATCAAAAGCTTCCTCCAAGAAGTCTTTTTCATCATCTCTGGACTATCTTCTCTGCAAAACACCCAAAGAATTTCTTTTGTATCTATTTTATGGTTCTGATGCTCATAAACATCAAATTGTATTAGCATCAGCAATTTCCCTAAATAGGAACTAAGCTCCCGCTTCCAGCCATATATATAGAAAGCAAAACAGAAAGATCTGAGTCCTCAAGACCCCAGGGATAAAAGACTTTCACACTCTCTTCTATTCACACAATTATAATTCAGCTTCATTTTTTTGTCTTAATAAAAAGCATTTGCAATGTTGCTAATGTTCCTCCGGGCCTGTAAACATTTTTACTCCAAACACGTCAGCTGCAAAATGTTGGAGCCCCACTCAGAGAAAGAACAAGAAATCCAGATTCGCTTCTAGCCAACAGCCAGGGTGGGAGTTGAGACCCCACTCTGAGCAAGCTGCCCAGCACCTGGGTGGGCATGTGCAATCCAATACAGGCAGACCCCAACTAGTAAAATGAGGGGGGGAAGAGAGGATGTTTTTGTTCTTTTAGAAAAGGGCCCCCAATGGTATATATAAAGCCCCACGAAATATTTCACAGCTCACATCAAGAAGCGGAAAGCACCTTGATATTCAGACCCCTGACTGCTGCCAGGGTCCAAAGCCGTCCCTTAGCCTCAACTTCACACTTGCCAGAGGACAAAGCCAACTAGACCATGTGAAACCCGCATGCCTTCGCCACCTCTTAGCTGCCTAGAGGGACAATTAAATTAAAAATATAATGACTTTACACCAGAAGGAAGTTTATCCAAACCACACATGAAAAGTCGATTTCTGATTTCGTAGCCACACCTCTGTACTGCTTGGTTAAAGACCAAACAATTGTGAAACGTAGAGAAGAACGATGAGCAAGTCGTGAATGTGGGTTTCTGTTTCCCAGTAATCTTTTTCAGACTTTAGAAATGCCTACGGTTTCTGGAGATATGAGTGTCTAAGTATAACGAGAATATGTTTGGATTTCACACATTCTTATTTTACAGCAGAAATCCTTGGTAAGTGAGGAAGTCCCGTGAAAGCTGAAAAATCATTGGCTTTGACAATAGACCTATAAATAGAAGGCACAGGAATCATGAATATGCTAATGGATTTTCCCTGCTATGGCCTTGCGGTATTGAGGTTTTAGCCCTAACATGTACATCAATTGGTGCCAAGTTTAACCATCCTGCAATCTTCAGCAGGAATCCCTGCTTTACATGGAACAAGCGGCATGAATCACAGATGTTAGGGGAGGGCCCAGGATTTCTGAATCAGAAAACTGTCTCCCTGCAAATTTTTGATGATTTAGTACTTGGGTAAATGTTCTCTCTAAAATGGACCAGTAATCAGGTGGTTCAAAGCTTATGAGTACAATAGAAATTTAAATATTTTCTAGCTTAACACATTACATAAGGATAAATCAGCCAACAGACATTTATGGATCCATGGAGCATCTATAATAAATGGGTCTTAACTTTACTGGAATGTAAGCCCTATGAGGGCAAGGATGTATCCACCATGGAGTGGATAAAAGAGTGATGGGCACATGGTAGGTGTTGATACTTATCTATTGGATTAATTGGGTGGTTGATTCATTAATTAATTAAACTGTATTACTGAAGGAGAATATCATTTCAGGGGATCCCCAGCTGTCCTAGGAAATATGACACCAACTGAACACATGGAACTTGCTATAAAGAAAGGCAGCAGAGGGAAGACTTACCTGTTTCCAGTACAGTAACCCTGCTGAAGGAGCAATGGTGGGCAGTCAAGTTACCCCTCATTCATTCACTCAACACTCACCAACCTAGTTCTTACTGTGCTCCCAGCTCCAGGTCAGGGCAGAACTATAGACATGGCCAGAACACCACTGTCAGAAATAGCATCTTTAACCCATCAATCCAACCCATCCATGACAGGCTCTGAATGCCTGTCCAGCCTAGATAGGGGGTAAGGGTGGGGGATGCCCACAGAGAAGTGCAGGGCCCAGCCATCTCGTGGGAGCTGGACGTCCAGCCAATGCACAATATGAGCACATGTGTCCCTTTGACTTCAGCTCTTCCTCAGGTCCATGTGTTTTGCCCCAGGGATGTGCAAAAATCTGAAGGGAGATCACAGATGTTGTGCAGGAACAGAATGTGTGTGTAGCAAAGCAAATGAGGGCATCTTGGAAAGCTGGCGAGGACCAAGTCACAGAGGACCTTGGATGCAGAAAGGATAAAACAAGCAAGAATTTTAAAGTTGTAAGGAACGTTGGGCAGAGTGGTTAAGGAGACAGACTTTGAATCACATTGACTTGGGTTAGAATCCAAGTTTTGCAGATTAGCAATCATGGTATGCTGAACAAGTTAAACTCATTTGATCTCAGTTTCCTTGTCTGTAAAACACAAGCAATGCTATGAATGCCTTGTAGAGTCATTACCTCTTCCTAGTAAGCTTCCAATAAACTGTAGCTGGTTTACAAATGGTGTGTGGGATCAGGTAGCTGAAAGTACATACATACCCTGTTCTCGTCTCCCCACCACACACACACCTACTTCAGTTCACGGTAGGCACTCTGCCTGAATTACAGGTCCCCTTGTCTGCTGCAATCAGTTCACCTCCTGATGCTATCTCCTCTAGGAAGCATTCCTTGGTTAGCTCAGCAGGGTGTGATCTCCCCTGTCTGAGAACCCATAATGCTACATTTCTACATCTCTGGCAGGCTGTGATGCAATTCTGCCTTGTACCATAGAAATCTGTGTTCTGTTTAAATCTGCTCCATCAGACCAAAACGTCTTTGAGAGTTACTACCATCCTTTACACCTTCATAGGCCCCACTGTGACTCATAGATAGCCTGCTTTGATGCATGTCTATTTGATTGAGTCCAGATCTCCACGAGTTTTGCAGGTGAGGAAACTAGACTCTAGATCTTCCAGCCCATCGGGGTAGAATGGAGGCCTTTGGCCTCAGGCTCCCACACCTAAGCTCTGTTTCAGAATCATCAGAGAGACATTTCATTTGATCATGGAATGGAGCAGTCCCGCAGATCAAGCTCAGCCCTCGGAAGGAGCAGAGGCAGTGGGAAAGGCTGAAGGCTCCACTGTGGTACAGGGGCAGCAATGCCAAACTCCCAGTTGGTAACAGAGTGTTGGCCTTGACTGTGTTCCTGCCTCTGGAAACAAGACCCAGCCTTCAATGCAACGCTGATAACATCTCACCTGAAGGCAGCACAGGCAGGCCTGACTAAGGCTTCCACTCTTCAGGGGCCAGCCAGCAACATCCGGAAGTGCATGGAACAACCCAGGCTGCATCCTCCCTCCTCCATGTTCCTTCAAGAGTCCCTTCCTCCTTGCTACTCCAACCCACCTGCTCCAGCCTGGCCAAAGGGATGCTTCTGAAACATGGATCCAACCACCTTACTTCTCTGGCTGCAAACCCCTGCCCCACCCCATCCCACTGGATTGTTCATGGAACTGAGTTGAAACAGTGTGAGGATAGATTATGGGGTCTCCATGTATGGCCAAGTGGAATCACTCTGTCTCTAAGCACCCAGGCCTACTTGACTCCCAATCTATGTCTCCCTGGAAGCTCCATCCATGCAACTGTTCATCTGTACATCTGTGCATTCAACTCACATTTACTGGAAAGGGAATCTCACAAGAATGAAAGGACTGGGGATTAAGGGGTGATACTATTTGAGCTAGGTTCTAGCCCTGGCTCTATGCTAACCCACAATGAGTTGTTACATGCTCTAAGCCCTGGTTTAGTGGGTCCCTTTCTTCAGTCACACCAAGTGTCCTGTTTGAAATGGGTGCAGGGACCTCAATCTCTCTCTCTTCCTCTGAAGGTCCTGAGGAAAAGGATCAGCCAGATTCTGAAGTGGCCCTGCTCTGACCACCTGGGTTCTGCAATCCTAAATGACCTGGATGCTGGTCAGAAGCTCAGCTCCATAAGGAACACAGTTTTACAGCAGAGCAGGGAGCCATTGACTGGGCCCCTCCTGACCCACAGAGCTTCCCCAACTGGCATGAATAAAAGTCACTCCAGCACTTGTACAAAAGCCGAAGAGTCCAAAACAGCATAATGGGTGCTATGATGGAAGGGAAGAAGGCTCCGGGGGAGGGACAAGGGAGAGGAGTTAGGAATAGTAGCAATAAGGTGTGGCCAGGATAGAGGTCCTGCAGCCCTGGAACAGGGAATCCAGGTCAGAGAAAGGGAGGTGGTGGAGCCAGTCTCGGATGAGTTCATGAGGAGGCAACGCTGGGGCTGGACCTTGAATGACAAAGGTGACAGCGACTGTTTATTGTGCATCTACTGGGCACTGGGCAATATAAATGCATTATCTCTCATCCTTACTAAAACCCTAGAAGATAGGAAGTATAAATTCCATTTTACTGATAAGGAAATTGAGGTCGAGATAAGTTCTCTGGTTGTCTGGTCTGTTAATGTCAAAGATAGGATTTGAACCCAAGTGCATCTCATTCCAGAGCCCACGCTCCTTCACTACACAGGATCTGGATAGGGAAGGGGTGCAGAGGGCAGCCCAAAGACGGGCTCCCTGCAGTGCAAAAGCCTGGAGGCAAGACCAGGGAATAGCCTTTGGTATAAAGGAGGTTGTGCATTGTCCGAGGACAGAAGCTTGTCTCTATCCTGGGAAAAAGGCACACTGCCTCACTCAGGCCTAGAGAAAGCCTGGTGGCTTGCTCCTCCCCAAACCCCAGTCCCTGTCCCAGGTTGTTTACCTCCAGTACTTATGGAAATATAAGTGCTCTCACCTGACTCGGAGGACTGCAATGAACCAGGCAGGAGCACACTCTATGAACCTTCTGCCCATCCAGCAGCATGCCTCCAGGGGACAACCAGCCCCCAGGGTTCCTGGCAGCTCATCTAGACATTTCCATTTGATGCTATGCAAATGGATGAGCCTGCCGCTGCCATCAGGACCACCACTCCATGCTGGGAGTTTTCATGAAACAGATTCCAAACCTGCCCTTAGGCAGACATGGCCAACCCCAGATCCCAGCTCCACCAGGAGATCCCAGCTGCGGGGTGCTGGAAAGGGGCAAGTCAGCACTCGCAGCTGAAATCTACCTCTGGAGTACAGTTCTTCCCAGAGCCACAGCACCCCCTGCCCATGACAGGCCTCTCGAAGGCCATGCTAACACCTGCCCACTTCTAGAAGCTGCATGCCAGAGAGGCTAACATACCCAGTTAACCCACAAAGACCCACACCCTGAGCCAAGCCACCAGCTAATTAAAACATTCTGTGAGTGACTTCCACGCAGATGGAAAAAAACTGAAACAACACAGAACAAAGGAAAGGAGAGACTTCTGTTTGGGTCCTGGCTGTCACTATACCAGCCATGTGACCTCTGGCAAGCCACTTATTCTCTGATCTTTTCTTTCTTATCTGGTAGTAGTAACATCCAACATTTATTTTTTAAATTTGTAGATCACAATGTACTTTTACATAAACTATTTTATTGAAGGTGATGCTCGCAAAACCTTGCGAGGTAAGAACTATTGACCCCGTTTTGCAGATGAGGAGCACCAGGGTCAGAGAGGTCAACCTCCATATTCAAGCCACACAGCCATTAAGTCTGGCCTGGAACCAGATCCCCTAATAGCCTGCCCTCCCTGCTGCGTCCACCTCCCACAGCCTACTTGGGAAGACGCTCCCCTGTGAAGCCTTCCCAGACATCTTGTCAACCATCATGGCATTCTCCCTCTCATCACTTCAATGTCTGGCTTTCTGCATTCTGATTTTCTACAGTCTGGAACCCTTGGGGCAGCTGGAAGGCTCTCCTGCAGGTACATTCACTGTTCACCATTCAAGCCCCCAAAATAGAACATTCTCTTCCGCCCGACCTCTGCTAGACCAAATGCCACCACCAACAGGTCCCCAAAGACAAAAAGTGGGAGAAAAACTTCTGGGCTGGCTGTAGGAATGTGCAGTTAAAGTAGGACAGGAAAGTTGAGAGTTTGATCTAGAAATAGGACCCTATATAGAAAAAAAGAAAGGAGGGGCATGATCCTATCGGCAACTGCCCAAGTTGGCCACAGCTGACAATACTGACATAGGAACACATTCTCTGATGTCCTAGGAGAGGGTGATAGGACCATCCAGCTGCTGTTGCACGCGCCAGGGACCACACCTGGCTCTGCAGCCCTCTGGGCATGCTGCCCGCTGGGTCTCGTGGGCAGTGCTGACTCACAGAGGCCAGACCAAGGGGACAGCCTGGCCCGGCTCTCAGCACGTCTGACTCACCGTCTCCTCCTGAGCCACTGTACGACATTCCTTCTCCAAGAAACAACATCCATCTTTTTTTTTTAACTGGCAGAAGAGCTTTTTCATGTTCTTGGGACTGTAAACCAAGCATCGAATTTTCCGCAACTTTTTCTAGTAAGTGTGCCTTGTGGGAAAGTTAAAAACAAGTCCATTTTTGGGCCTAAACATTGTTATAACTCCTGAGCTGCCTTAGTTTCTCCCGAGGTCGTTCACCTAGGGGACGCCAAAAGCAAGGATGTTTCAGAGATCGTTGATCAAAGTAGGCACAAGATTAGGTAGTCAGCTTTGCTTGAATGAGTGTTTAATATTTAATAGAAATCCACATGTCAGGCACTGAATAGTCATTGTGCATGTATTTCTCTAGGCCCTACCATAAGCCTGCAGAGTCAGAATTGTCATCCCTGTTTTAAAGCTGTGGAAACTGAGGCTCAGAAAGGTTAAGCAACTTGTACAAAGTTAAACATTGGAGCCAAGATTTAAGCTCATGTCTATCTAATCCCAAAACTTCTATGCCTTAACTAAACCATGCAGCTTCTTTCCTCTCAGCCCCCACACATCCAGGCTGAGAGCAGGTCATTCTCCTGCAATTCGTACATTCCTGGAGGTTACTGAGCATGCCAAAGAGTTTCTACGAAGAGAATCCCTTGGCCTCCATCTCTGGCCAAGCTGTCTGCTCCTACCATCCCTGCCCCTCCTGACTCCTGAGGCTAAAGCTCCCTGGCTGCATCTCCCGGAAAAGGCAAAGAGTAAAAAATCACAGTTCCTATGGGTGCTACCCAGCCAGTCAAGCAATGTGTCCTCCTGGGAAGTTACTAACCTCTACCAGACTATACAACAGCCCATCCTCAAAGCCCTACATGGACCCATAAAAGCAAACCCTGTACCGAAGGCCCCTGTAGGGCACAGGTGGTGCTTGGGAGTAAGTCTGCTCATTGCAGATGGCATGCTGATGGGCAGATGGCCAGGTGGGCACTGCCCATGTACAGAGAGCTCATGCTGGATGCTTTGTTTACCCCTTGGACCCACCCTCCACTGTTCTCTGGCCTGGAGGCCAACCTGGGGCTGGAAGAATGGGCTTCCTTGCCCTTTGTCCTCCAGCTGGGTCTGGCCAGTGGAAGGTACTGGCACTATAGCAGAGGGCAGGAGGTGAATAAGACCAGGCTACTTGCCCAGCTCCTCTCAGGCAGCCTCTCCTGAGCCCCACAGCTGCAAGTACAGGTACGGTGGCTGCAACTGTCCGCCCCTACCACCCACCGCCCCCAGAGGGCTTCACCATCCCTTGCTCATGGCCCTTGCTCTTCTCACACTTTGAAAATAGGCCCCCCCCCTCCATTAAACTCTCCACGGTTACTTCCGTCTGTTCCTGCCAGGTCCCCAGCTCATTCAGAGTGGTTTAGTGCAAAGGCGTCGCCTTGAGTAAAGGAAGTGTGGGGTAAGCCAAGGCTATTTTGATGGCTTTTCTTTGGCTTTTATCATCCTCAAAATCAGGAAATTTTAGATGCTGTTCTTAGTGCATTTGCTGTGCATTTAAACTGTCGGCTACAATTCAGAAGCACCGGCACTTCTGTCAGCCACAGCTTCAATTCCCTGGCAGTAAATTCCTTAAGTAAAGAGAGAGGCCTTGGCCTCACAGCCTTCCCAGGATCCACGAGGTACCCACTCACACTTGGAATACTTGCCAGGTAACATCAGACTCAAAGCAACATTCTGCATAAAGCATGTTTGTTGGATTTAAGAATAAAATTTTTATTGAGATCCATTATCTTCCCAGTCTCCATTAAAATTGACTTGCTTTCAGTCTGTACAGATTTATTCTTAACGGAAGAGATAAGAAAAAGACCAAGACCCAATTCCTACCCTCAAGAAGCTCACAGATAAATGAATGCAATGTAACAGGAGCAATAAGAACACAAAAGCGACTCTCACACTGCCTGGAGGTACAAGGAAGGCTTCACAGAGGAGTGGCATCCAAGATGATGTCTGAAGGGTGGCAAGGAGCTCAGCATGTGAATAGATGAGTGAGGGCATTCCAGGTAGTGGGCACAGCATATGTAAAGGTATGAAGGCATGAAAGGGTATATGGTGTCCTGGGGGCCAGAAGTAAAACATTATGACAAGAACTTGGAGCATGTTTTGGGGACTGATAGTCATCAGACTGGAGAGTCAGGCCAAGGCCCTGCAGCCATGCTTAGAATTCAGAAGGAAGAACAAAACACTTGTAAAGTATAAATGATTGTCAGCCAAGAACCGTGTGTAAGGCTTTCTTAGTGACATTTCAAAATGGCCTTCTTATAAAATGATATTTCAAAATGGCCTTCTTAATGACAAAGGAAAATCTGATCAATTCATTTCTGGGTTAAAATTTATGCTCCAGAAAAATGTGACCTAAAGAGTAAGAAAATAAAGGTTACATATTTTGAAGTGGTTTAAGTAATAGATATTGTTGAGTACACATATTCTGTAAATTAGTGTGTATCTGTGCCAACTGGTTGGAAATAGCTCTTAAAAGTGGAGATTGGATGCATGGCGGGATGGATGGGTAGGAGATGAATATATGCATGCATAGATGGATGATTAAAGGAAGGAGGGAAAGAGGAAAGGAAGGAAAAGGAATGAAAGAACACAGTGAACGAATTCAGAGGTAAATGACTGAGAGATGGATGAAAAACAAATGGATGCTCCCAAAGCATTCATCACTCCCCGCCATTAAGCCTCCTTCTAACTCAGTGAATGAGCTCTGCCTATTGCCACAGAAACAAAATAATTTGGAAATGGCCAACTGAATTAGAAGCCAAGTTCAAAACTCCCAGAGCATTGAGAACACACGGTGAAGACCCCTGCACAATCCCACAGATAACTGGAGAGAGGCCCGATATGCCCATCCTTGCCTCTCCCTGGCCCTGCTCCCCTGAACAATGTGAGGATCACATGTGGGGATCCTGCAAGAGAACAGTGCCCTAGGGAACATCTCAGACTGTAAATTCCAAGGAACATTACAACCAATTGAAGGAAACTCTTGCAATTTTGTGAGCCACAAATGGCTCCAAGGAAAGTCTGGGTCAGTTTTCAGACCTGGCAATAACTTCCTTCATGGCAGAAGGATGGTGGCCATGAAAAGGCCAGTTTTTCCTTCCCCATTTTCCCAAAGGAATGGGCCCTGAGCCGGGAAGGTTGTGTTTTCCCCACCTGTGGTTTTCTGTTCAAGCCAAGTCAATAAACTGAAATACAGCTTTGGTTCAGCTGATCCTCGAGGAGGGAAACAGCAATTTTGCCTTCAAAGGGACAGACCCACAAGCCAGAAATAAGAGTTATGTTTCTGGGCTGTGCTGAAAGAAGGCTGGGCTGTAGGTTTCAAAGGGCCAAGCTCCCACCAAGTCCAGGGGTAGCTGGGGGCAGCCCAGGCTTTGGCAGTTGGGGGCACCTGTCATTTAAAGAAGGTGCTAGTTCATGAGTGGGCAGGGCAGATGCTAAAAGAAGACTAGTACCTGCTTTAACCGCACCAGGACACAGCTATCTGCTTGTGCCTCCAACAGTAGAGAAAATGGGGTAACATACTCCCTTAATGGGGTATGAATGGCCAAGCATACAGATAAATGGTAGAGGATGTGAGGAGGGAAGAAGGCTGGCCTCAAAATCACGAGGCTTCACTTCCTTCCTTACTTGACTTCCAAGTCCCTTTGTGGCTTTAGGCCAGTGATTCTTCCTTCCTCAGCCTCCATTTCTCATCCATAAAATGGACATGGTCGCACCTGCTCTGCCTATCTCACAGCCCTGATCAAAGAAAGAATGTGAGACTGCTTCAAAGTTTCAGCAAAAATCACCATATCATGGCCTGTATCAGGTGAACTGCCCTCCAGGGATCTTGTTATCACTAACCTTCCTTGCATCTTCAGAAGCGCATCTAGACTCCTCTCCTCCCATTCAAATAAGTCTGGTTGCATTCCCCACCTCAACTGAGTTCCCTATTCCAGCCTTGAACCTGGGTCTTCAAGGCCATCATTTCCCGGTGCCCAGATCCCCAAGGATTATGTACAGCTTCTAACTAACCCGACCCTCAGCCATAACCAAGACACTGCAATGTTTAATGCCGACCCAGTCCAATTAAACCCCCTGCATCTTCCTAGGCACAGCGCTATGGAGAAAGACATTTAACGGCCTTCAATACACAGAGGAGACCACGTTCCCCTCCACCCGGGGAAAATCTGCAAGATGCCAAAACGTTTATTTTTCTAGGATTAACACAATGACAGGGAATCAGCCACATATATTGTTGAACATGATGAGCCAAATATTTTTCTGTAATTTTTATAATAATATGAGGAAAGCTGAAAAAGAAAAAAAAAAAAAAAAAAAGAAAGCAGCTGGTGTTAGGCTAGCCTTCGTAAGTTCCAGCCTCCAAAAATAACAGTCGTTCCCATGAATTACCAACAACGCTGTTTGTAGGACAGTTGCTTGATATAAGAAATGGAACATATTAACAGGAGCTTCCTGAGAAAAAGGGGCTTAGGGAGGACAGAGTGACCTAAGACAGAGGATGCTGGGGAGGCCACAAGCTCTCAGCCCCATCCCCTGTGATGTGGTCTCCCCAAGCCTCCTGCAAAGCAAAAGAGGTCACAGGAGATGCCGCCAGGACCCACACTGATTTCAAGCACTCAGAATGTGGGCAGGTGGGGATGGGGACTCAAGCCGGGAGGAGGGCATCTGGATTGGGTCACACAAGTGCCACAGCACTGCCAGACAACTTACTCACTGTGTTGCTCTTTCCAGACCTTGAAACCTGATAAAGTGATGTGGAAGAGACAAACACGAAACCGGAGTCTAAGGAGAGATGAGGGTCAGAAAGGAAGTTCAAGGGAAGAGAAGGTGGAGGCAGACATGGTCAGGGCCTGGCAGCAAGGGGGTTCATCTTCTAGGGCCCCCACTCTCCCACAGCCTCTGGGTAAATCTAGTAGGGGAGGTATGTTGTGAGGAGGAGGAAGAAAAACAAGCACCCTGGGCTAAGAATGCAGAGTAGAGTGCTGGGATGGCTTCCCCACTCCCTGCCTCTGTAGCCTTGGATCAGTCACTGGCCTGCCCTTGGGCCAAGGTGTCCTCAACCTCATGAGGGTGCTGTAGAGATTAAGTGGGAGTGAGATAATTACAGCAATGCCACAGAAGGCTGGAAGCTGGTGTCTAGGAGCCAGCTGCTCCTTCAACCCTGCACTAAGGGAGGTCACGTGAGGAGCGTGAAGAGGGCCCTTGTGGACCAGCCAGAGGGGACCCCAGGAACAGCAAGCCTGCTACTTCTCAGCCTCCCAAAAAGAGCTTTCCCCTGGACTGTCCCCCAGGGAACTGGAGCTCCAGCTGACAACTGCTTGTGTAGAATAAGAGATGACATTTGTTCAGAGCCTCGGAGGACAGATCCAGGGCCACTAGCGGATGCTTCCTGGAGTCAGACATCTGCTTGGCAGAAAGAAGGACTTTCTATCAGTCAACACAAAGCTGGCAGCCCCTTCCCCACCCGCTCTCCGGGGATTTGCCCAACTTTATTCTCACACTCATACTCTCTTCTCTCTTAGGGCCTTATTTTTAAAAAGGGACCTGGAAAAAGAAGGATCTTCAAGACCAAAGGGCTAGGGAGAAAGGAACTGATCAGATTGGGCCCTGGACACAGGAAATCCTCAGGCTAATGGAGGGGAGTTGAGGCAGAGACACCCAAGGCTGGGCTTGGGTTAGGAGAGCTTCACAAAGCAGCTGCCTAGAGGGACCAGTGGAAGAGACCCTGGAGGGACCAGTGGACAAGGCCTTGGAGGGGTCAGTGGAAGAGATGCTACAGGAGCCAAGGTCAGAGGAGTGAGGGAGAAGAAAGGACCAGAAAAGAGGGTTCCCAGCAGGAGGTGAGTCCAGAGACTCAGTGCTGGCCCCAGCCTGCCTTTCCTGCAAGTTGTGTAAACCCAAGTGAGATGTTGAGTGGAAAAGATGGCAAGCACTCCAGGGACAAGAGACAAGGCCCTGGTACACCCTGCCAAGTGCTGGGGTAAAGGAACAAATCAGACACAGCCCACAATAATGCCCCCTAGGAAGAATTCCCATTTAACAGATGAGAAAACTGTGACTCTGAGAGATTGAGTTCCCAGCCATCAGAGAATTCCTGGTCTTTAGGTTCATGGGAGCCAGTGTGGGGAGGGAGAGAAGTCCTGCCCCCGCACACCCCCTGCTAGCAGGAGGCAGTTTCCACTGGAGAGCCAGGGATTTGAGGGAAGCATGAGGCAAACACCAAATGTTTTACCAGTGGAAATAAAATTGAAAATGTCCCTGGAACCCACTTCATCCAGAATTTCCAGGGGAGGTTTGGTGTGAGTGAGTCACCAAGAGCACAATGGCTGGTTCCGAAGGCCAGGCCAGCTGAGCTCGGTGGATATTTAAACAGAGCTTGGGGAAAAGATGGTCAAAAACACTGGCCTGTGCCTGCTGAAACCTGAAAGGGTTGCCTCCACCCTGCCTGAACCCACTGACTGCAGGAGGCTTGGCAGGCCCCATGTGGCTCTCAGAGGCTGGACAAGGACTGGGGGAAACCCAGAAAACAGTGAGGGCAGTAAATCTCTGCCTGCCCACGACAGTGCTCTGGCACCTTCAGCATCCTTTTCCTCTCTAAGGAGAAAAAAAGTACATAACGAATAACAGCCCCCAAGATCAGAAGAGTTATTAGGCAAGCTTAGTGCTGCGCCCGCTCTCTTTCTCCCCAACAAAATGTAAGCTTTTCCACGATACCTCCAGCCAGTGTCTTGTGATGTCACCGCCACTCTCTCACAAGCTCCCTTCTCCTTCACGGAACAAGCATTGAAGATGGATCAGCAGGCAGGATCACCCTGTTCTGTTCCCAAACTCCACCACATGCAAGTGCCTCTGAAAGAGAAAACCCCAACCCTACACGGGAGAAGATGGCCTGACGTCTAAGGACAATTTCCCCTTAACAGCTCAAGAAACTGTCCCAGACAATGAGAATAACTAACAGTAAGTTGCACCAATCACGTGCCATCATTTAAGCCTAACAACAGCCCCTCCAGAAAGAATTGTTCTTTAGCAGATAAGAAAACTGAGGCTTCAAGAGATTGAGTGCCCAGGCCAAGACAGCATTGATAGTCAGAGAATAAGTAGCAGATTGAAGCATCAAAACCTGCCACTTCCCTAGACTATCTCTCCTTGTTCTCAATACATCCCTGAGCCCCAACAGGAGTGAACTCTCCAAGCATGCAGAATGTGGGAAATGTCTCTGATATTCAGAAGCATACTAGACTAGCATCCATATATCCTGGGTCCAAAAACCTAGGAGTCAGGCTAAATCAGGCTAAGTGGCCATTGTAAAATAATAATAATAAAATATTCACCCTAATAATTATTATTACTATGAAGTCTTCCTTGGTGCAGCAAAAATCCTGGGCTTCTGAACATCCCCATGTAGAGAGAATCCAAAGTTCCCACCTTAAGCCTAAGGGGCAAAAAACACTCTCCATTCTGACTCTCCAGGTGAGATGAGCTGAACAAACAAAAAGCTCTCAACTCCCAAAGATTCCGGTTGCAGATCCACACCAGGCCCGGTATCCTGCCTCACTCCTGCCCCAGCCAGAACGCACCCCCGCCCCCACCCATGGCCCCCAAGTCCTCCAGCCTCAGGGATGGTGGACATTTACCCTCCCTCTGAAGACTAAGGGCCCCCAAAACCAGCTCTCAGTCAAGCCTCAGACTTTCCTGCTCCTGGGCCACTGCTGGGCTCAGAGGCACTGCAATGCTGAGGGCAGCCACCGCAGGCTTTCCTCTAACAGGCCATGCACAGAGTAGACGAAGTCAGCGTCAGATAGATGGAGGTCTTACTTGTAATCCTGAGCCTCAGTTCTTCTGTCAACTGGGCACAAAATTAGTACCCACCCCCAGGGCCATCGTGAAGATGAAAACATATTAATGCTTTAAACCATGGGATGGTGATTAATAAAGATTACCTATGAGTGTGAGAATGCTTAAAGCTGAAGACTCAATAGACCAGAAGATCAAGGCTTGTCTGCCCCAGATGACACTACTTCCCATCCATTTATCCACCCCCGCCTTGAAGCCACCCCTAAGTCCAGCGCTCACTTTCAGATCCCCAGAGACACAGCTCCACTAAGAATGAATTCATTCATTCAGGGCCTAGAGCAAGAGGACAGGTGAAAGTCTGTGACCCACCTGTCCTTTTCCTATCTCCCATTCTGGTGGAGTCCCACACCATGAAGGGCCTCGTATGTAAGTCTATAGACCCCTCCTTAAGCCCATACATTCAAGCCCAGTTCACATGCTGCCACCCCTCAGACTTAGAAATGCCCTCATGGGTGGCTCAGGAAAGACCCCAATGAGACTCCACGCAGGCCTCAGAGACATTGGAGCAGAGGAGTCCAGGGTCCCTGGTACCAGGAGTACAGTGGAGAAACCTAGGGTCAGACTCCAGTTGGGAATGTGGTTTTGGTCCCTTGTCCCCTGGGAAAGGGCAAGGCTGGAGGAAGCCCAGAGCAGGGACACAAAAGCACCGTGACCGTGGCAGTTGCTTTCCCTCGTTTACTCAATACATTCTCTGGGAACCCTGTGTGACCTGGAAATACCAAGGTGAATAAGGCCCAAGACTTGCCTACAAGGAGTTCTCAGTCTGGGGATGTGATGAGGTCCTCATAATTGCAGTAAAGTGAGCCCCATGGGAGAGATGTTAACCACAGCAACCAAGCTCAGAGGTGGGGCAGCCCCAGACAGCAACAAACCTCTGAGCAGGAGGAAGGGGAGTCCTGCGGGCAGAGAGTGGTGGCAAGAGTACTCTGAGAGAGGACAGCGCAGGCCAAGGTGTGCAGGAGTGTGGGCCTGGTCTCCAGCACCATTTGGGAAGGCAGAGCCCAGGAGGAGGAAGAGTTGAGGATGAGGCTCAAAAAGCAGAAAGGAAGTGAACCAAGCAGGGCTCCTGTGCTAGGGAGCACTAAGGAGTCTCTGGACTCTCAAATTCCAGCCCGGCCCTCCACACACACAGTCTACTCCACCTGCTTAGCAGAGAACCTTCCCTGTCTTGCTCATGGGCTCCATCCTGCCTCCCAGCTCAGTGCCAATACAGCACCAAGAATGTCCATGGCCACCTCACCACCACATCTGCAAGGGTGACATCACAAGCCATCTGCAGCTCTGGACAACACAGCCCCTGTTGGCCTGGTGATGAAGCTGTGATTAGATGCAGGGGCCAGGCCTAGGGCTGATGGCTGGAGCCCAGCTGGCCCCAGCTGGAGAGTCAGCTGCCCTTCCCAGCCAGCGCCTTCCCCTCCTGAAGCACATCCCATGCTACCCAGGAATTAACTAGGGAGGGACACTGTGAAAAACCAATGCCTCTGAAACTTGGGGAATATCACAACTACAGATTTAGAAATCCCCAGAATATGGAAGGCAGAGACTTATATGACCTTGACTGACCTATCTTCCCGTAGACAATGATGCCCTCAACTGCGCAATGGACTTCAGGACTAGGGTATGGAAGGTGGGTGACATGCCTGCCACCATCTTCCTTCAATCAATAAGCCCTAGGCCGGCTTCATCCCTTTCCAAACACCACCTTCCCACCTGCAACTGCCCCCATGGCCTCTGGCCTGGCCACACGCAGCTCCTCAATACACTCACTGCTGCACTCAGATGGGTCTTCTCACTACTCGGCGCGTCCCTTCTCACTCAGTCCCCCAGCAGAGCAACACCCTAGGTACCAAGCCAAACCTCAAAGGGTCAAAGGCAAGGAGGCAGGAACCTGGTGCGCTCAGGGAAGAGTGTGACAGGACCCAGTGTGGGAGAAGCAGGGGGGCAAAGTGGACATAGTAGCCTGGGGTCAGGTCACCAAGAGCACCCCACACCAGGTGGAGAATCACTGTTGCCTTAGCACTCCACCCCAACTCTTGCCAAGCATGTTACATTTCAAGATCTACTCATAGAGGGTAGAGGCCACCCTAGGACATCCTCTGGACTCCTGGAGAGGTTACAGGAGCTTTCTGGGGCTATAAGGCAAAAATGCCCTCAGCTTTCAGAATCTAAGTCAAAGTCACCTGCTCTCTAGAGATTTTTCTGACTTCCCAGCTCTTTCCTTGCCCCACTGTACCTGCGAGAAGGTTCTCATAGCATTGTGCTTAATGGCTGGTAGTTCTATCTTCCTCCACACCTTAGGTCTTTCGAGTGGAAAGACTATGTCTTATTTATCTTTGTATTTCCAGAGCCCAGTAAAGTGACTAGCATGGAATGTTTGTTCAAAGGATGGATGGATGGATGGATGGATGGATAGATGGATGGATGAATGGATGGATGATAGACTCTGCATTTCACAGCAGTCATAGATTCAATGAACATTATCTTCAAATTACTACTTGCCAAAAAGCTAAGGTGGATAAAAGCAATGGACCCAATTTTCATGGTTTTCCCAGGTACCCTTCCTTCTGTCTGCTCATCCCACTGGTGCTCAAAACCCTTGGCAGATTCCTGAGCTGGGGCATCAGGCCCAGCCTCCCAAAGACAGCATGGGAGAGGAAGAGCCACGACTGGATCCTGGCACCAGAACAACCCTTCGGTAATTACATGTTTCCAGACAGACATAAATAGACAGATTAGCCTTTCTGCATTTTTCTCATAAAAATAACAACAGTTCCTAAGCACACTGGCACGAGCATGGACATTAAGCATTGCAACCTGCTGTTCTTGGCAGGCAAGGGCTGGCCTTCCTTGCTGTTTCCCCCTACACTGCCTCCCCCTCCAGGCTCTTGGAGGGCTCCTCATGCCTGGCTCTGTCCACCCCTATCGCCCCAGAGCGGGTTGGCAGCCAAGCCCTGAGACTGGCTAAGGGCTTTTATGAGCATCATGTCCATGCTTTGCTATTCTCTTGGCTGGATCTTTATCTGCTTTTAGTCATTATGTAACTAAAAATCCTGTACACACGGTGAAACGATTATATGCCCCTTTCTGTACTAGGGAGAATGTTTGCTTTATTTCTGCCCTAACCCAGAAGCAGAGCACTCCTAACAGTGAAGCCCCTAACATTATACACACACTTAATGTAATCTCTCTCCCTTTCCTTCTGCTCTGGCCCTCTTCCTCCTCAACTCTCTCTCTCTCTCTCTCTCTCTCTCTCTCTCTCTCTCTCTCTCTTTCATTCTTTCCTACTTGTCCTCAGACTCCCATGCTGAACCTGGTTATGACCATGGCCCAAGGACCAAGGCACCTTCACTTTGCGTCCCACACTCTTCCACACCTGACCTGCCTCTAAGGCCTCAGGGCTCAAGAATCAGACCCTGAAGTACTGATCACCAGACCCTCCTCCCTAAGGCCCATGGATCTCCCAAGCTAAAAGAAGTCCTATCCTCATCCTCCTAGCAGATACTGACCCATCAGGCCTCTGGCCACAAGGTCAAGGGTCTACAACTAACCATCAGATGGCCATTGCTCCTTGTGGAAGACAAATGATGACTAGAACTGCTTGCAGGCCATAAAAAGCTTTATTTTCTCTTCCATGTGATGTTATTACTCCTCATGGCCTCCCTCAGAAAGACCCAGAACAAGGGGTGGGACCTTGTAGCAGGCTACATGCCACATACCCAGTCAACTATGCAAGGTATCTCTCAACAGGACTATGACATTCAATGAAAAAGAAGAGGAATTTGAAGTCAGAGGACTTCAGTTCAAGTCCCAGCTCTACCTCTCGTTAGTTGGTAGGTTCAGGCAAGTCACTTCCCCTCTCTGAAACACATAAGCAAAAATGGTGGTATTGTGCCTAATCATCAACGTGTGTGTGTGTGTGTGTGTGTGTGTGTCCTATTACTACACAATGTGGTGTCCCATGCCATGTTCGCTTACAATGCAGCTTAGTAATTATTTCACATAGGTACATAAAGCTTTCTTGTTCTTTCCACAGCTATGTAGTATTCATTTGTATAGATGTAATGTTATTTTTTAATAAGTAATCCCCAATCAACTTATTTTTAAGCTTTTTTCAGTCTTTGACTCTCTCCATCAATGCTGCAGTGAATGACCTTGTAAAAATATCATTTGAAACACTGCAAATATATCTGCAGATTAAAGCACAGATATAAAATTACTGGGTCAAAGGGCATATGCATTTGTAAATACAATAGGCTTTGTCCAATTACCCTCATAGATGTTGAATCAATTTGCACTTCCACCAGAAAGGTATGCATGCTCGTTTCCCATATTCTTGAAAACACAGTTTTTCACGTAACATTTAATCATTGCCAAATGTTGATGAAAATTTGTATCTCAGTATAATTTACATGACTCTTATTTTTAATGGGTGTGAAAATCTTTTCATATTTTTTACCATGTGTATTTCCTTTTCTATCGGTTTATAATATTTTTCCATTGTTTTATTTAGCTATTGGCTTGTCAGTATTCAGGAGCTTTTAATCTGAAGCTGCAGAGACAACACAAACCCCCAGAAATTGAGTACAAATGTTATGTAACCATGTGTTCATTTCTCTTGAAAATGTTTTTATTGCTTTTATCAAATTCTCAAAGGGTTTGTGACCTTTAAAAGTTAAAAACAAGTGAATGAGATTGCCATTAAGAACTCTTCAAGAGTTAACAACTGAATCTATGAATGCTGCAGAGTTTAAGGCACTGAGCATCAATAAACACCTATCTGTGTGCCCAGTACTGGCTCAGTGGTGTCGTAGGATACTCTAAAGGATTGGCTTTTCAAATCCAAAATGAGTCCCTACACATGTTCCACTTGCAGTTTAGATGCAATATTTATAGGTAGAAGGGTGATCTATTCACCCCTAGGGACACCATGATAAATTAGAAAACATAGGTACCGTGATGAATGTAGGATTCTGATGATTACTCTAGTCCTACTGTCAGTTTCAGTAACCACAAACAACTTGTTCCTGGAGGTTAAATACCGCCCTTGACATTTGCTTCCCTGGAATCCCATCATTCCCAGTGAAATCAAGAAAACCCTTCCTATGGCAATCTCTCCCCCCATCAACTCCTGCCTGCAGCAAACAACCATCACAAAGTCTTGCAAGAATGCCAGTACTTCTCCCACCAATGTACAGTGTTTCTCAACTTTGTATAAAAGAGTGATATCTGTGTGAACCCTCCTGTAAGGGGCTGGGTGAGCAGGTTGCATATGATAGATCCATTTCAGCATTCCTATCTCTTTAAGCCTTGGGATTTCTTTGTCTGCAGTATGCCAAGGAAGTTCTGATGTGTGAGTTTCATTTCACTCGGGACACCATTGAGTCCAAGTTTCAGTCAAAAAAACAAAAAAAAGCAAACTGCCAGAGTCATGCTGAGCTGCTCAAGCTAACAAATTAGATCAAGAACCTGGTAAATACATGCATCTTGATACATTCATCCCAATCCAACATTACATAACCTTCTCCCTAGACTGTCACCTTGTAATTTTTCTTGCATGTATGCTTTCTCCTCCTGGGTCATACTTTGTTCTCAACCCTCTTGGGCATGCTAGGATCTGACTTAGTTTTGAATCTGAAAACAATGAGAGGTAGTGAGAATATGTCTTAAGGGGATATAGCATCTCCTTATAAGGTCCTTAAGCAAGTGGAAAGTAGTTTCCTCGGAGAGCAGTGGAGAAGGTTGCTTCTAATGGCAAAGTAGGCACAGAGAGATTTGGGATGTGAGGCCAAGCTATTCTGAATCAGCCAAATCTACCCAAATGTCTGCATACCTATTCTCAGTGTCTCACTCTTTCTTAAACAATGTCCTCACTTTAATACAAGACCCGGTATGGATGTAAATTACATTGTGCTATTATCTGCAATTTCATAATTGAACTTTGTAACACACTAAGTTACAAGACAAGCAACAATTATTTTAAGGCAGTTACAGAAGCACTCTGATTCTCTGATCATTGACTTGTACCCTGAGATTATTCATTTCTTTTATTCCAGTGCAGTCAGAAATGGCCAGCCTGCCCACCCTTACAAGTCTCACTCCACGTGGCCACCATGACATTCTATAGCAGTCACCATGTCGTCTGCCAAAGCCTTGCCCTTCATAGGTTCTTTATTCCAGACAACTTCAGGTGACATTTTAAAACTACTGTTTGCCATGGTAGGCCATGCATTGTCAATATTCCATTTTCTTTTGAGAAAGAAGCCATCACTAGCTTCAAACCTAATCTGCACAGATAACCAACCCATTCTTCTCATCTTTAAATGTCTGCTTTCTAGGAGCACTTGCAGTGCCAAATACTGAATCAGCCAGGAGCCAGTCAGGAAAACAGAAATCTCTCCAGTTATATTAAGCAGGATGTTGTTTCATGCAAAAATGTAGGTGTTTATAAAACTGTTAGAATAATATTAGGAAAGACCACGATTAGCTCTTAGGAACCCATGAAGGATGACCACAGCAGGAACATGTCCAGAGATCACTATAATACCTCCCACTTCTTCCTAGATTCAACAGACTGAATGATGAATAAACTGCTCATTTTCCATTATAATTTTTTAATTGAAAGATTAACAATAAAATTAGAAATGTGGTTAAAAATACAAAGCTGTTTTAACATTGCAAACTTAACAGTATGATAAACCTCAGAAAAGCAAAACCAAAAATGAACTGATGTAGCTATCTCCGGCTTTGGTATAGCTGAGACTTTGGGTCTCAGGTCCAGGAAGGGCTTGGCTTTCTAACATCTTAAAGTAGTGCTCTTTGTCACTTGGTCATTTGACTCTGGTTTTTGCTTTAATTTTTTTTCAGTGAAATCCACAAGTGGCTCGTCCATGGTTCTGGGATTTCCAGCAACTTCTTCAGATGCATAAAACTCTTTTGGCCTTTCTTCCACTGAGGCTGTTGTCTTTTTAGAGAAAAGCTTTTTATCTCTGACAATCACTTTCTACTAGTCTCTGGAAAAAGGCCTCTGTTATCTTCTCATAAACCCTAAAAATGGGTCTGTGGGGCCATGACACTCCAGAATGTTCTGTGCTTGTGTACAGCCCAGGAGTTCCCATAAACTAGCAATGACTCCCCCAAGGCACCCTCAGCCATTAATACCTGTATTAGGGTTCTCCAAAGAAACAGAACCAATGGGATGTGTATCTATATAAACATAGAGAGAGGGAGGTATTTATTTTAAGGAATTGGTTCAAGCAGTTGCGGAGGCTTGACAAGTACAAAATCTACAGGGTCTGGCAGCAGCTGGAGATCCCAGGATGAACTGCAGTGTGAGTCCAAAAGTCATCTGCTACAGAATTCCTCCTTGCTTCAAGGTCAGTCTTTGCTCTTAAGACCTTCAACTGATCGGATGAAGCCCATTCACATTATGGAGGGTGGTCTGCTTTACTTCAAGCCTACTGATTTAAACATTAATCTCATCTTTAAAAATACCTTCATGGAAGTATGTAGAATAATGTTTGACCAAATATCTGAGCACCATGGCCAAGTTGGCACCAAAAATTTGCCATCACAATACCTCCTTCAAGAAGCCCTTTCTAGGGAGCAACCCACTGAACAGTTTCAGAACGTAGCCTTCCTCCCACGCAGCATCCCATGCCTTGAGGTTACTATGGTGTTTTACAAACATGTCAATCTCACCTACTTGAATCCGCACACCTCAATGGCAGAATCACTTCCAATTCATCTCTGTAGCCTGCTACCAGCCCAAACCTGACAGAGATGGCTCAGTGTCTGCCGATTGAAAGAACGAATGATCCCTGTAGGAGCTGGGGGAAGCTGATCCTACTTCCTCTCTCTTGAGAGGGTCTTGCTTCTCTCAAAACATCTTTTCAATAGACATTTGAACATGCAAAATAGAGGGGTTTTTTTGTTTTTTCTTTTTTTTTTTTTTTTTTTTTTGAGACGGAGTCTCTTTCTGTCGCCCAGGCTGAATGGAGTGCAGTGGCGCGATCTCAGCTCACTGCAAGCTCCTCCTCCCAGGTTCATGCCATTCTTCTGCTTCAGCCTCCTGAGTAGCTGGGACTATAGGTGCCTGCCACCACGCCTGGCTAATTTTTTGTATTTTTAGTAGAGACGGGGTTTCACCGTGTTAGCCAGGATGGTCTCGATCTCCTGACCTCGTGATCCGCCCTCCTCAGCCTCCCAAAGTGCTGGGATTACAGGCGTGAGCCACAGTGCCAGGCCCAAAATAGAGTTTTAAGGCAACCCAGTGTGGTTTCTTCATGGGGAGACAAGGTACACATGAGACCAGTTAAAGATTATAGCACACAAACCTCACTTAATACCAAGTTGGTACTACAAATAGTACCTTGAGTAACCCACTGTAAGTCTTTCTACTGATCATTTCTAACCAATGAGGGAAACACTTTAGGTATCCTGGATAAAAGCACCTTGAAGTCAGGATCTGAACATTGTAACAGGCCCTCTTGCATCTCACTCTGGACCAGGTTCTGAGCTGGTGTCTTTCTGGATGTCAGATCTGAAAACCCTGCAAACTAAACACATCTGATTCCCAAACCATCTCCTTGCAGTCAGGAATGGCCCATGCAGTGACGCATTCATGGAGGGGCTCCCACAGTTCCCAGCCCTGCCAAATCACTGACATGCTTCCCCAGACACTATGAATGGTGCCAGCAAGTCCCGCTGGAAGCCGAGTCTCCTCATGTCCTGATTCTGTTCTGTCTTCAGACAGACTCAGAGGGGAACATGAGCATGAAACACACAGCAATGTGGCCATCAGCCAGGGACATCAGAGCCCAACCCACTTCTTCTTGGGGTGAAGACAGACCTAGCATTGACAGCAGAGGGAGGTGTGATTTCCCCAGCAAAGTCCAGACTTCCTCACTGGGAGCTTTAGAAACCTCCAGGTGTGAAGGTTACTTAATAGGTGTTGAGTATAGGATCAGGGATCCATGAGGCCAGGAGGGTCAAAGAAGGAAAGGGAGCCTGGGCTAGGGAATGGCCTGAGGGTGAAGGACCTCTCCCCACCACCTTCATTTCTGGACTATTTGATGAAGGAAGGAGCAACCATTGCTCTTCACTGGTGTCGGCGGGAGGGGGGAAATACAGGTCTGGGAGATCTGCCTCTGATTAGCTGAGTGGCTCTCAGCAAGCTCCTTAAAAGTCCTGGTTTGTGTCACAGTGGAGGGGAGGTGATGGAGGACAGGCAGTCCTCGGGTGATTAATGGTGTCTGGGTTTCCACCTCCAGAATTAGTGCTCTAACTCTCTTCTGAGAACTGGATGCAAGAGTCTTTAGCTGGAGAGGTGCTCCCTTTCACTCCCCACCCACACACCCTGCTAAGTGCAGAGCCAGGCACACAGATTTCTCCATCAACAGCTCTTGGATTGATGAAGAAAAGCCTTCTAAAGGGAAAACATTGTTTTTCCTTGATTAGGGTGGGTTAGCAATGAATGAAGTTCCAGGACCCTGAATTCCAAATGGCTTCTCACTTGGGTCAGGTGCTTTCCTTGGTGGTGTTCTGCCTGGGGGGTCTTCTCCTGAGAACAAGGCCTATACCTTCTCCTGTCTTACCCTCTTAGCCAAGAACAGGACCAGACACCAGCTGCGTACTAGGTGAAGCTCCGGGGTGGAGGGGCATACATAGATGAAGGGATGGATAGAGACACTGAATGTGTTTGTGAAAGAGCACCCGGCCTCTGTAGACCCTGCCTTGGCCTGAACTGGATTTCCCTGTTCTAGTCATCACCCAGCCTTTGCTCTGCAGGGAAATATATGGGTGAGCGGAGAGCCACACATACTTCCCCAGTGAGCTTCAGCTCGCCCCCTCACCATCAATCTCCAGGAGGCTGGCTCCCCAAGTGGCTCATTGTTTCTGGTTTTATCTGAAACAAAAATAGACTCTTGCAAACATTCCAGTCTTGAGGTCATCAGTTCATAGGCCTCATCCAGCCCTGGCTGATGTTCCTCCCTCGAGCTCACTGAGGACACTGTGGCTGCCTAGGCACAGCTGGCTTCATTGCCATTGTGGCTTATTCAACACAGCATGTTCTTCCCTCAGGCCTTTTAGATGGTCCTTGGATATGAAGCTGTTCACAGACAGCAATGCCAAGCACTCAGACACCTTAAATAGCTGCCAAGACACAGACCTCCAGGGCCAATCATGTCCCTTTTGGGGAATGACTCAGTTACCACTCATGAGAGCCATCATGACTTCTCAGGGCCCCCAGGGCATACTGCATGGACAGGGCTTTCTTCCCATAATTCATTCCATGCTATGGGTGTTTGTCTATGTATCTTGCCCTGTCATTGGAGGGGAAGCTTCTGGTGGGTAGGAGCCAGGTCTGATTCAGCCCCAGGACCTTGCCAGGGAATATAACCAAATTCCTTCCTAGACAATTTTGTTAAAAGAGGCCGCATCAGGAAATATTTATTTATTTATTTATTTATTTATTTATTCATTCATTCATTCATTCATTCATTCACTCATTTACGGAAGGATAGACTAAAAGACACCCACTCATGCTATAGATTCTGGAATGTTCATGTTAAATTCGGCCAGGTCGTCAAAGCTGTTTGTCCAGCCTGTATCCTTTGACCACCACCTCCCATTCTTTTTTCCTGACTTGGATATTGTCACTGTGGCCCCTGCTTGCACTGGGAACTGGTGTGAGAAAGAGCCATTGGGAGACACTCCGATTGAGTTTTGGAAGGAAAGCCATCCAGTTCTTGACACATTGCCCCACTGTTGTCTAAGATTTTTCCTAAGAATCTGGTTTGTTATTATCCTATGGGTGCTGCTACTGCTCAGATTTCCCTATTTGCCTTTGCTGCTAAGAAGTTTATAGACTAATTGGTGGCCCATCGCTGGGAATGCATACACAGGATTGCAGTTTGAGGATTAATCTTACCTCCAACATTTTTATTTTCATACCCCTATTTTCCCTTTGCCCAACCCCCTATATTTTATTGTATCTTGCTGTTTATAAACTGCCCCAGGTTTGAGACCAGTTGAGGTCTAAATTTATTAATTAATAGATTAACTTATTTTAAAGTGTTATGAGGCCGGGCACGATTGCCTGTAACCCCAGCACTTTGAGAGGCCAAGGCAGGCAGATGGTTTGAGCTCAAGAGTTCAAGACCAGCCTGGGCAATGTGACAAAACCCTGTTTCTACAAAAAAATTAGCTGGGTTAGCTAGTTGTGGTGGCACACTCCTGTAGTTCCAGCTACTCAGGAGGCTGAGGCAGGAGAACTGCTTGTGCCCAGAAGGCAGAGGTTATAGTGAGACAAGATAGCGCCGAGATAGCGCCTTTGCACTCCAGCCTGGCCAACAAAAGTGAAATCCTGTCTCAAAAAAAAAAATTTTTTTTTAATTTTTTAAGTTTTATCAATGAGGGTAGGTGAAGTTTTGCTACATAATAAATAATCCCAATATCTCAGTGGTTTAACAACACGAAGATCAATGTGTGAATTTATTTACAACACTCCCTTATTTATTTCTAATGCAGCATTGCTAGGAGCTATGCTCCAGGCCATCACCATTAGAGGTTGCAACCTGACATAAACTTCTATTTGACATATGCTTCCATGATCACTGCAGCAGAAAGGGGAGGGTAAGCATGCATTGGCTCTTAAAGATGCCACACATTACTTCTGCTCACCTTTCACTGGTCCAAGTATGTCATATGGCCATAACTGATTACAAGCAGAGCAGAGAAGTACAAAACTACCATCCACCTGAAAGGTGGAACACCAGAATATTCATGAATTCTGTTCATGGCAAACACAATGCAAGCACAACCATATAATATACCATTCAAATTGGGACACTTTTGAGAGTGGAAGGAGGATCTAACAGTAAGAAAAACTAAATAATTTTCTTAAGATTTATGTGTTGCCTTGCAAATTGATTATTTTATTGATAGACCATAAAATTATTCTATTCAAAAACTAATTTCAAAAATAAAATTTCTGGCCAGGTGCAGTGGCTCACGCCTGTAATCCCAGCACTTTGGGAGGCCGAGGAGGGCGGATCACTTGAGGTCAGGAGTTCAAGACCAGCCTGGCCAACATGGTGAAACTCTGTCTCTACTAAAAATACAAAAATTAGCGGGGCATGGTGGCGGGCGCCTGTAATCCCTGCTACTCAGGAAGCTGAGGCAGAAGAATGGCTTGAACCCCGGCAGGTGGAGATTGCAGTGAGCTGAGATCGCGCCATTGTACTCCAGCCTGGGTGACACAGCGAGACTCCATCTCAAAAAAAAAAAAAGTAAATAAAATTTCTTCTAAAACTATAATATAGACTTGTGTACATCAAGTCAAAAAAATATGTTGTAAAGATGTCAACAATAGATACTGGGGACTACTAGAGGTGGGAGCAAGGGAGGGGGCAAAGGTTGAAAAACTGTTGGGCTCTCTGCTCAGCATGTGGGTGGCTGGATCATTCACACCCCAAACCTCAGCATGACTCAATATACCCAGGTAACAAACCTGCACACGTACCCCCTGAATCTAAAATAAAAGTTAGAAAAAAAAGTTTTAAACCCATAAAATAAAATAAAATTATCCTTTCTTTTCCAACTAGGAAAAGAGACAGAGATTTTGGAAATTGTGAAGAAAAAGGACTTTCTACTCAACAGAAAAACTGAAAGAATATAAATAAATAATCACTGACAAGGAAATATAGTTAAGCAATATGAAAAATGCCCAACTTCATTCTTAATAAAAGAAATGCAGATTGAAATTTTTTTTAAAAATTTAATCTCTATGTTGATCATCTGAACATTAAAAAATAATGTAAAGAGAATAATTTATGTTTGATATGGATTTGCATATTTAATTCTGTTTCCTAGACATATCACCCTCTAATATTGTATCACCAAATTTTTCGAAGATTGTAATTTTTTCAAGCTGATCTTATCATTTTAGACTTTGCCATAAAATTGCCTGCAATTTTCTTCAAATTGCATGTTATGATTCATATATTTGAAGTCATCGATTCTTTGAATTGGCCCTTCTTTGTAGAGCACAATTTTTTTAATTGAGAAAACATTTTGCCTCCTGGTATTGAGATATCTGGAAAGCTTGGGGAAATTTTAGTGAAATTGAGGATATTGTCCATTTTAATTATTTTTCATATTTGAAAAGAGTAAATATTTCACTTCAAGTATTTTCACGGATACTTTCCTTTTGTCTCAGAGTAGTTTTCTTTGCCAAAACATGTCAAATAAGTTGTCTCTATGATTCTTTTGAGTGGTTCACCAGTTTTACATGTTCGAGATCATAGGCCTACTCAATTCCATTCCACCACATTGCGGAATACAAATTTACTGAACTACCATGTGAGCACCATCACAAGATTCACCCCATAAATCAAGATATTCCAAAGCACTTAGAAAATTTGAATATTAAGTGTGGCACACCATTTTATCTCTTGTGATTTTTTTTTTCAGCTTCTCCCTTGCTTTTGTAGAGAGAAATCTCAGTGTCTTCCTACTTACAGGGCTTGTTTTTAGTAGTCACAATTCAAAAAAAGATTCATAAGCTGATGTCTTAAGATGAATCACTTACTTAATTTTGGTTAAAATCTCCAGCTGGTTTTAAACAAAATGAACCAAAATTTAGAGAATTTGTTTACACAAAAGCTCTACAACATTTTAAGACACAAGTTGATTCACAAAGTAGTTCTTCAAAAATTCAAAGATTTCTAAAATCTGACTGATAATAGGCAGGAAAGAGAAAAGTGTATACTGTCATGCTAAACTATTATTTCGCACTCAAAATCAGTTTTGTCACAAAATTTTGTAGTTCAGTTTTCTGAGTACATATAAAATTACTTAATTTTTTACAACTACACTTTCTAATTCAACTGATGGGGGAAAAAAACGACATTTGGAAACAGTTATTAAGTATGTGTGCACCCAACCAACTTCAAGTACATTCTGAGTCTATTAATATCTTAATTTAGTAAGAAAGTTATTTCCTCTATAACACTGTGTTCTACCAAAATTTGTATTTTTATTATCATTGAAGAAAATCTCCAATATTCAATGTCTTAACATTTATTTCATCTGTTTCACTTTTGACTAAATGAACTTACAAAAGCATTACAAGCATACCTCAGAGATATTGCAAGTTGAGTTCCAGATGACTGCAATAAAGCAAATATTGCAATAAAGTGAATCACATGAATTTCTTGGTTTCTCAGGGCATATAAAAGTTATGCTTACACTATACTGTAGTCTATTAAATGTGCAATAGCATTATGTCTAAAAAATACTTTATTGCTAAAAAATGCTAATGATTATCTGAGCCTTCAGTGAGTTGTAATCTTTTTGCTGGTGGAGGGTCTTATCTCAGTGTTGATGGCTGCTGAATGATTAGGGTGGTGGTTGTTGAAGGTTGGTGTGGCTGTGGCAATTTCTTAAAATAAGACAACAATGAAGTTGCCTAATCAATCGATTCTTCCTTTCACAAAAGATTTCTCTGTAGCATGTGATGCTGCTTGATAGTGTTTTATCCACAATAGGACGACTTTCAAAATTAAAGTCAATCCTCTCAAACCCTGCTGCTGCTTTATCAACTAAGTTTATCTAATATTCTAAATCCTTTTTTGTCATTTCAACAATGTTCACAGAATCTTCACTAGGAATAGATTTCATCTCAAGAAATCACTTTATTTGCTCACCCCTAAGAAGCAACTCCTCCTCCATTGAAATTTTATCATCATATTGCTACAATTCAGTCACATATTTAGGCTCCAAGTCTAATTCTAGTTCCCTTGCTATTTCTACCACATCTGCAGTTACTTCCTCTACTCAAGACTTGAACCGTCAAAGTCATTCATGAGAACTGGAATCAATGTCTTCTAAATTCCTGTTAATGTTGACATTTTGACCTCCTCCAATGCATCACAGATGTTCTTAATGGCATCTAGAATGGTGAATGCTTCCTGGGCAGTTTTCAATGTGCTTTGCCAAGATTCAGCAGACTAATCACTAAGTATGGCAGCTATAGATTTACAAAATGTATTTCTTAAATAATAAGATATGAAAGTCAAAATTACTCCTTGATCTATGGGCTGCAGAATGGATGTTTTGTTAACAGACATGAAAACAACACTAATCTCCTTGTACATCTCTATCAGAGCTCTTGGGTGACTAGACACATTGTCAATTAGTAGTAATATTTATAAAGGAATCATTTTTTCTGAGCAATAGGTCTCAATAGTGGGCTTAAAATATTCAGCAAACCATGCTATAAACAGATGTGCTATCATCCAGGCTTGATTTTTCCATTTCTACAGCACAGGCAGAGTTGATTTAGCATAATTTTTAAGGGTTCTAGGACTTTCAGAATGGTAAATAAGCATTGGCATCAACTTAATGTCACCAGTTGCATTAGCCCCTAACAAGAGAGTCAGCCTGTCCTTTGAAGCTTTGAACCCAGGCATTGACTTCTCCTCTCTAGTAATGAAAGTCCTAGATGGCATCTTCTTCCAATGGAAGGCTGTTTTGTCTATGTGGAAAATGTGTTATTCAGTGTAGCTGAGGTAGGAGGCAGGACTCAACTCCAGAGGCAGGGCTTGGGCATCAGTCCAAATTGAGGACTAGCTAAAACAGGGACTGGGTAGAAGCAGCTTTCCATAAGGCACACCCAGCAGTGTGCCATGTCAGTTTACCATTGCATGGCAACCCTCAGGAGTTACCACCTCTTTCCATGGCAATGACTCGACAACCCAGAAGTTACTACCTTTTCCTTAGAAATTTCTGCATAAACTGCTCCTTAATCTGCATGCAATTAAAAGTAAGTATAAATATGATTACAGAACTGTCCTGAGCTGCTACTCTCTGCCTATGGGGTTTCCCTGCTCTGCAAGAGCAGTCATGGAGCTATAACACTGCCACTTCAATAAAGCTGTATTCTTCTACCCTACCACTGGCTCGCCCTTGAATTCTTTCCTGGGAGAAGCCAAGAACCCTCACAGGCTAAGCCCCAATTTGGGGCTCACCTGTCCTGCATCATAGCCACCCTCATGAATTATCTTAGCTAGATTTTCTGGATAATTTGCTGCAGCTTTTATATCAGCACTTGCTGCTTTTATGTTATGGAGATGGCTTCATTCCCAAAACCTCATGAATCAACTTTTATTAGCTTCCAATTTTTCTTCTGCTGTTCATAGAAGGTAGGTATTACTTAACATTCTGTCTGGAAAAGGAGCTGGATAAGGGACCTCCTTGTATTATAGCTAAGCAGCCAACATTTTATGTGACATAGTACATTATTAACTCTAGGTATAAAGAAATAAGCTAAAGATGCATATTGTTGTTCCTAGAGCAGCCACCAAAATAATAATGCAAAACATATAGCTAAAAATTCAATAGAAAAATCAAAATGGAATACTAAAAAAATTTCAATTAACCCAAACAAAGGAAAGAAAAGAGAAAAAGTGGGACATAAAACAGAAGCAACAAATACCTAAAAATGGTAAAATGGCAGACCTAAATCCAACTATATCAATCATTATATTGAATGAAAATGAACTAGACACTACAATTATAAGGCCAATATAGTTGGGATGGATTAAAAAACAAAAAAGTTTCAACTATAGTGTGTGAGATGAGACATAAATATAAAAATAGGTTGAGGAATCCACTTGTGCCTGGTATTCTAGTGCACACGCCTTGCAAGCAATGACGCCATGAGTCTGACTTCCAGTTCCAGCATACGAGTTGAATGGATCACAGCATTTACTATTGCTGCTGGGAGAGCTGCAACTGGTTATCTAGCTTACAAAAGATTTTATGACAAAGATCATCAGAATAAAGCTATGATGAACCTTCACATCCAGAAAGACAACCCCAAGATAGTACATGCTTTTGACATGGAGGATTTGGAAGATAAAGCTGTGTACTGCCATTGCTGGAGGTATAAAAAGTTCCCATTCTGTGATGGGTCTCACACAAAACACAACGAACAGACTGGAGACAACGTGGGACCTCTGATCATCGAGAAAAAAGAAACTTAACTGGACACTGTTGATGTTGCATATCAACTTGTGAAGTTAACTGATTGCTTAATTAGAATGACTACCACCTCTGTCTAATTCACCTCCCCTGGGTTCTAAATGCGGTATATTGCAAACTGCAGCTTTCGTATTGATGGCATTTGTCTTACTTTTTGAAACATCGTGGTGCACATTTGTTTAAACAAAAAAAAAAAAAAAGGAAAAACCAACCTCATGGCCTGTGGGTTATTTTGGTCTTGTAAGGATCAGTTTCTTTAAAATATTGACATATACAGGTGTATCTTACACAGAATATAGTTGTATCTTGAAGTCAACATATTAAATTATTCTCAATTTTTAAAAAAAATATATTGAAAATAAAAGGAAAGAAAAAATAACTATGGAAACACATATCATAAAAAAAGGTGGAGGAGCTACATGCAGATCAGATAAAATAGACTTCAAGAAAAGGAGTGTTAGCAGAGATAAGAAGGGACATTTTGTAATGATAAAGGATTCAATTCCACATAACAAGCCCAAATGTGTCTGCAAGTGATAGCAAGCTTTAAAACAAATGAATCAAAACTTAACAGAAGTAAAAGAAGTAGTCAAATCTATACACAGAGTTGGAGATTTTATCATTCCCCTCAGCTACTGATAAAACTGTTAAACAAAAAATCAGTACAGGTATAAAAGATCTGAATGATGCTATCAAACACCTTGGTCAAACCGGCACTTACAGAACACTACATCCACAACTATAGACTACATTATTCTTTTTAAATGCTATGGAGTATTCACCATATGCTGGACCATGACAGGTCTAAATACATTTCAAAATATTAAAATATTATGGAGTATGTTCTTTAACCACAACAAATTACATTGGAATCAATATTAATGTGAAAGCTAGAAGTGCCCCCAACCATTTGGAAATTAAACAAATACTAAATAAGTTTCAAAGAATTCAAAAGGGAAACTAGAAAATATTTTGAATTGAATAAAAATGAAAACACAACGTATCAAAATTTGTGAGATGCAGTTAGAGTGTTCAGATGAAATTTCTTAGCTTACATGAGAAAGGAAGAAAGGTATAGAATCAGTGTTTTAAGGTTTCACTTTAAGCTAGAAAAAAAGAGCAAATTAAACCCAAAGTAGATAGAAGGATAGAAATAATAAAAGAACAGAAATCAATTGAATAGGAAATAGAAATAGTACACTGAAAATTAGATCTTTGAGAAGATGAATAGAATTGATAAACTTCTCACAGGAAGGATCAAGAAAAAAAGAAAATACAAATTACTAATATCAGATTTGAAAGAGCCGATAGTGCTACAAACCCTACAGATATCAAAAGGATAATAATGGAATATTATGCACAATGGTTCATTAATAAGTTTGCCAGCTTACATGAAATGGGCAAATTCCTTGAAAAGCACAACTTGCCAAAACTGACACAGGTGAAACAGAAAATTTGAATAGCCTTATACATAGCAAAGAAATTGAATTTGGTATCAGAAACATTCCCAGAAAGAAAACCTTCAAGCTCAAGATTCCACCGCTGAATTTGATCAAATGTTTAAGCAAGAAATAACATCAATCACAAGTAAACTCTTTCAGAAAATAGAGAAAGGAACATTTGCCAGCTCTTTTAATGAGTCTAGCATACTCTGATATATCAAAGCCTGAAAAAAAATTACGAGAAAATTCTCCATTAACACAAATGCAAAAATCCTTAACAAAATACTAGCAAATAGAGTTCATCCATATATGAAAAGAATCATTCACTGTGAACCAGTGGGCTTATTATAGGAATGCAAGATTGATTTAGTATTTGAAAATCAAAGAAATTCACCATACTAACAGAATAAAAGAGAAAAACCACGTGATTATCTCAAAATGTAGAGAAAAAGCATTTGTCAGCATTCAAAATTCACTTAAGGTTTTAAGATAATACACACACAGTGTATGGGGAATCAAAGAAAAACTTGTTCAGTCTGATAAAGGGCAGCTACAAAAAAAATCTACCAGTGCCATACTTAACGGTGAAACACTGAACACTTCTCCCTTACTACTGGTCACAAGACAAGGATGTCCCATTTTCAACACTTCTATTTAACATCATACTGGAGGTCCTCACCAGTTCAATACAGAAAAGAAATAAAAGGCATAAAGACTGGAAAGGGAAAAGTAAAAGTTTTTCCTTTTCACAGGTGACCTGATCGTTTAATTATCAAAACTTAATATTGATAATAAAACTACTAGAATATGTGAGATTAGCAATGTCAGAGGATATGTCAATACATATAATCCATTGTATTTCTAGGTAGCAACATTGAACAATTGGAAAATGAAATTAAAGAAACAGCTTCTTTTATAATTATGTCAAAAAGAAACATACTTAGGAACAAATTTGACATCAGTATTGCAAAAACTTCTCAACGAACATTTAAAAATGTTCTGCTTATGTAAATTGCACTGCTTAGGTTAACTGAAAGCCTTAAAAAGTATCCAAAAAAGACATTATGTGCTTGGCATGTACTTTCAAAATCTATTGAATAAATTCTAATGAATACCTAATACATTCCATGCACTGGAGATACAACAGTTAAAGTCCTGACCTCATGAAGTTTAGGTCCTACTTAGAGAAGCAGCCAATAAAAAGACAAATTATTCTACAATATATCAAGTGCTAATAATTGCTATGAAAAAAATAAAACTTGGTAAGGGAGAAGAGAGTAATGCAGGAAGACTGTTTTATATAATAGTGAAAGCCTTATTTATTGATTTAAGACAAGGTCTCACTCTGTTGCCCAAGCTGGAGTGCAGTGGCACGATCACAGGTCACTTCAGCTGCAAACTCCTGTGCTCAAGGAGTCCTCCCACCCCAGCCTCCCAAGTAGCTAGGACTACAGGCATGTGCCACCATGGCCAGCTAATTTTTTTAATTTTTTTTTTAGAGGCAGAGTCTCACTGTAATGCCCTGGCTGGTCTGGTCTGAACTCCTGGGCTTAAGCGATCCTCCTGCCTTGGCCTCCCAAAGTGCTGGGATTACAGGTGTGAGCCACTGCACCTGGCCAAAAGCCTAATTGATAAGGGAAAAAAAAAAAAAAAAACATTGAGCAGAAGCCTGAGGAAAATGAGAGAATGAGCTATGTATGTTAATCAGAGATGAGAATTACAGACAGAGGGAATAGCAGGTACCAGGGTCCTGAGGCATGAGTGTGCCAGTTTGAGAAACAGTGTAAAGACTAGTGTTGCCAGAGTGCAGGGAGGTGAGCAAGAGGAAGAGTAAATGACAGCAGAGGGGGAATGTCTCAGGGACCCCAGTCATGCAAGGATTGGGGATTTACCTGTGTGCATTATGCAAAACCACAGGAGCATGCCATGACCTAGATATTTTAAAAAGATCTCTCTGTTACTATGAAGAGGATAAAGTTTAGGGCACCAAGGATAGGAATGGGGTGGGAGACAGAGGCTTCATAACACCTAAAGAGAGAGGTCAGTGATGGCACTAGAGGGGCCCAGAAGCTCTGGGGAAAAGTATTCTTTGTGTTCTAAAAACACACCAAAGACACAGCCCATAAGACTTGGAGTATGGGGTCTGAGAAAAAAAAAAAAAAAGTTGAAGAGTTTACCTGAGCAGCCAGAAGAAAAAAGTACATTTAAAACTGTAGGCGGGGCACAGTGGCTCACGCCTGTAATCCCAGCACTTTGGGAGGCCGAGGCGGGTGGATCACAAGGTCAGGAGATCGAGAACATCCTGGCTAACACGGTGAAACCCCATCCCTACTAAAAATACAAAAAAATCAGCCAGGTGCAGTGGCGAGTGCCTGTAGTCCCAGCTACTCGGGAGACTGAGGCAGGAGAATGGCATGAACCGGGGAGGTGGAGCTTACAGTGAGCCGAGATCGCACCACTGCATTCTAACCTGGGTGACAGAGCGAAACTCTGTCTCAAAAAAAAAAAAAAAAAAAATGTAGGAAGTGCATGTTTGAAATAGAAAATCCAAAGGTACATTTTGGACTTGTCCCTTGTGAGATTCAAGTGGAGATCATAGACAGCTGAATATGCAAGTATGGGTTCAGGGGACCAGGTTTTGGGAAGGTAAATTTGAGGAGCCATCAGCCTACCGATAGGGTGATCATATAACTTAGCTTTCAAACTGGGACTTTTGCTGAGACTGAAAGGTGGGGCCAATTATGCCCAGCATTGGGCAAAAACCAGAACTCTCCCAAGCAAACCAGGACACAGGATCATCCTACCTACAGAGGGTGTTAGAACGATGAGACTAGGTGAGATGCTTGAGGAAATTAGGTTGGATTGAGAAGACAAACATTACAATGCCTAAAAATCCAAAGATGAGAGGGGACAGCCAAGATCCTATAAGACCAATCAGTATGAGAGCTGAGAGACTGCTGTCCTGGAAGCCAAGTAAAGAACAGGATTTTCAGTAAGAGACAGTGATCAGCTGCATCAAATGCTGCTGGCATGTGATGGCAGTGAGAGGATGGATGAGAACTGGATGACAATGAAAGCTAAACTCTGACCCACAGAAAAGAAAGTGTCTATACACTCTAAAAGCTTATTCTTTTTTAATATTCAGGGTTGAAGAAGTAGAAAAGTATTAGAGAATGCACATAGTTTTCACTTTAAAGAGAAATAATTCAAATCCTTCTTTAAAAATATACTGTCCAAAATGGAATGCTTTGTCAGGGTACAGTGGCTCACTCCTGTAATCTCAGCAGTTTGGAAGGCTGAGGCAGGCGGACCACTTGAGGTCAGGAGTTTGAGGCCAGCCTGACCAATATGCTGAAACCCTGTCCCCACTAAAAATACAAAAAAATCAGCCTGGCGTGGTAGTGCACACATTTAATCCCAGATACTGGGGAGGCTGAGGCAGGAGAATGGTTGAACCTGAGGGATGGACATTGCAGTGAGCCGAGAAGGCGCCACTGCACTGCAGCCTGGATGTCAGAACAAGACCCCATCTCAAAAAAAAAAAAAGCGTTTTATGGTCAGTTAAAAGAAAGATTTTTAAGGAAGGGATCCAGTTTCAGCTTTCTACATATGGCTAGCCAGTTTTCCCAGCACCATTTATTAAATAGGGAATCCTTTCCCCATTGCTTGTTTTTCTCAGGTTTGTCAAAGATCAGATAGTTGTAGATATGCGGCGTTATTTCTGAGGGCTCTGTTCTGTTCCATTGATCTATATCTCTGTTTTGGTACCAGTACCATGCTGTTTTGGTTACTGTAGCCTTGTAGTATAGTTTGAAGTCAGGTAGTGTGATGCCTCCAGCTTTGTTCTTTTGGCTTAGGATTGACTTGGCGATGCGGGCTCTTTTTTGGTTCCATATGAACTTTAAAGTAGTTTTTTCCAATTCTGTGAAGAAAGGCATTGGTAGCTTGATGGGGATGGCATTGAATCTGTAAATTACCTTGGGCAGTATGGCCATTTTCACGATATTGATTCTTCCTACCCATGAGCATGGAATGTTCTTCCATTTGTTTGTATCCTCTTTTATTTCCTTGAGCAGTGGTTTGTAGTTCTCCTTGAAGAGGTCCTTCTCATCCCTTGTAAGTTGGATTCCTAGGTATTTTATTCTGTTTGAAGCAATTGTGAATGGGAGTTCACTCATGATTTGGCTCTCTGTTTGTCTGTTGTTGGTGTATAAGAATGCTTGTGATTTTTGTACCTTGATTTTGTATCCTGAGACTTTGCTGAAGTTGCTTATCAGCTTAAGGATATTTTGGGCTGAGACAATGGGGTTTTCTAGATATACAATCATGTCGTCTGCAAACAGGGACAATTTGACTTCCTCTTTTCCTAATTGAACACCCTTTATTTCCTTCTCCTGCCTAATTGCCCTGGCCAGAACTTCCAACACTATGTTGAATAGGAGTGGTGAGAGAGGGCATCCCTGTCTTGTGCCAGTTTTCAAAGGGAATGCTTCCAGTTTTTGCCCATTCAGTATGATATTGGCTGTGGGTTTGTCATAGATAGCCATCAGAGTGAACAGGCAACCTACAAAATGGGAGAAAATTTTCGCAACCTACTCATCTGACAAAGGGCTGATATCTAGAATCTACAATGAACTCAAACAAATTTACAAGAAAAAAACAAACAACCCCATCAAAAAGTGGGCGAAGGACATGAACAGACACTTCTCAAAAGAAGACATTTATGCAGCCAAAAAACACATGAAAAAATGCTCACCATCACTGGCCATCAGAGAAATGCAAATCAAAACCACAATGAGATACCATCTCACACCAGTTAGAATGGCAATCATTAAAAAGTCAGGAAACAACAGGTGCTGGAGAGGATGTGGAGAAATAGGAACACTTTTACACTGTTGGGGGGACTGTAAACTAGTTCAACCATTGTGGAAGTCAGTGTGGCGATTCCTCAGGGATCTAGAACTGGAAATACCATTTGACCCAGCCATCCCATTATTGGGTATATACCCAAAGGACTATAAATCATGCTGCTATAAAGACACATGCACACGTATGTTTATTGCGGCATTATTCACAATAGCAAAGACTTGGAACCAACCCAAATGTCCAACAATGATAGACTGGTTTAAGAAAATGTGGCACATATACACCATGGAATACTATGCAGCCATAAAAAATGATGAGTTCATGTCCGTTGTAGGGACATGGATGAAATTGGAAATCATCATTCTCAGTAAACTATCACAAGAACAAAAAACCAAACACCGCATATTCTCACTCATAGGTGGGAATTGAACAATGGGATCACATGGACACAGGAAGGGGAATATCACACTCTGGGGACTGTCGTGGGGTAGGGGGAGGGGGGAGGGATAGCATTGGGAGATATACCTAATGCTAGATGACGAGTTAGTGGGTGCAGCGCACCAGCATGGCACATGTACACATATGTAACTAACCTGCACAATGTGCACATGTACCCTAAAACTTAAAGTATAATAATAAAAAAATAAATTAATTAAAAAAAGAAAGATTTTTAAAATGGCAAAAAGTAATAATAGAAACATTTAATACAGCACTTAAGATGTGCCAGCCACTGTTCTTAGTGCTTTACATATATTAACTCATTCAATCCCTACAAGACGTGGACTATTTTGCTCTCCTCCCATTTTAGAGGAGAATAAGCCCAGGTAAAGGAAGGTGAAATAACCTATCCAAGTCCCCATGAATAGTAAGTGACAAAGCCAGCATGAGGACCTTGGTAGCTTGGCTCCAGAGACTGTGCTCTTAGCCCCATCTGTGCTTAGTGCCCCTAAGGCAGGGATATATTCACAGTAGGAGAGAGATTTTTCAAAAATTGACCCTAAGGTGTTGAAAACAGTCATATTTCCAAAGTCACCAAGCTAGGACACAGGATACACACTTGGTGCTTGCTCCCACAATAGATGTACTAGGCCAAGGACCAGAGCTTTCTAATCCCACTTGTATGAGTCCATTCTCACATTGCTATAAAGAACTACCTGAGACTGGGTAATTTATAAAGAAGAGGTTTAGTTTGCTCACAGTTCCACAGGCTGTGCAGGAAGCATGGCTGGGAAGGTGTCAGGATACTTACAATCACGGTGGAAGGCAAAGGGGAAGCAAGCATGTCTTACGTGGCCCAAGAAGGAGGAAGAGAGAGAAGGGGGAGGTGCTACACACTTTTAAACAACGAGGTCATAATAGTGAACTCATTCACTATTATGAGAACAGCAAGGGGATGTCTGCCCCCATGATCCAGTCACCTCCCACCAGTCCCCTCCTCCAACACTGGGGACTTTGGGCAGGGACACAAATTCAAACCATATCACCACTCACCTGGGTCAGAACTTCATCTGCTACAGGTGCACTGGAGTTCAACACCTTCCAGCTTCCCCTTTCTTTCTGGAGTTCTGAGAAGACACTAATCTTCCTAAAAATTCGACTAACTGGCTGCTCACCTGGACCCTGACATCCTAGCATGGTTGTTATAAGCCAATGGATATACCCACAGTGAGGCAAGGTCCACCTAGAATGTGGTTACATAATCTAAGTAGGTCTGGGGTTTTCCCCACTCAAAAACAATAATGACTATCTCTTTATCTCCCAATGGATTTGAAGATACTTTATCATTTTTTGATGAATGCATAGTTTTCCTCTGTCGTATGAGCTATAATTTAACTAGCCCCCTTGTTTAAACATTTAGGGTTTTTTTCCAGTTTTTCATTAATCAGAAATTCATAAATATTCTAGTACATTCTCATATAAATTTCCCCACTGGAAGAGTTTCCTTTTTAGGGTAACTTTTTCAAAGCAGGTTGCTGGGTCAAAGGATATGGGCATTTATATTTTGGTACTTGTCATACTGCCTTACAAATAGGTTGAACTAATTTACACTGCCATTAAATAAGCACTTCTCAAGACCTTAGCTAATACTGATTTTTTTTTTTTTTTTACCCAATCTGTTTACCTTCGCCATTAGGCAAAATATGATATTTCATGTTTAATTAGCATTTTTCATCATTAGTGATGTTGAACATCTTTTTTACATGTTCCTGACCACTTCACTTCCTCTTTTGTAAATTACCTATTTAATTTTCCATTAGTCTATGTGGGTTGTTCTTTCTCCTTTTGCTTTGTAATCGCCTTGTGTATATTGGGCTGATTAACTCTGCCATAAATCATGCAAATATCTTTCCCAGTTTCTCATTTGGCTTTAAATATTAATAGTATTTTTACAGGGCAGATGCTTTTCAGCTTTATTAAATACAACTTACATATTAGGAACCTGCAGGAGATTTTCTTCTGATTAAAAGATTAAATATTGAAGTTAAATCAGACCCATATACTCCTAAATAGCCCACGCATAATGCAACCTTCCCTCCAGGAGCAGTAATCTAAGCTCTGGGGAGAGTAAAGATGGTGGTTATACATGTTCTGGTGGCATGGTACCTCTGGTCTCTATACTTTTCTCCTTCTCAGCCTCTTCCCTTTGGCTCCCAAAACTCTCACTAAAGCATGATGGGAGCCGTCTGTATGATCATCTCCCTTCCAAGGTTCCTGCCTTTTTAAGCTGATGTACATTCAAAGCTTTAGCTTTAGCACTGGAATTTAGCCCTCTGCCTTTTTGCATTTGTATGAATAATCCTTAAGAACCACCAAGCACCAGCATAAGTCTGGCCTGTGTTGGATGACAAGCCCATTGAAGGGTCTCTCTGGTTAACAATGGAGTTGCTGTGTGCCATCCCAAAAAGACAGAAAACACAGGAAGACGGAGACAGACAGACCAGCAAGGGATAAGCCCAGGGTGGGCCTCTGCCAGCTTGCAGTCTTGCCCGAGCCTAGTTTTGACTATGGTAAATGGAGGCTGTCATCTGTGAACAGGCCCAGTCCTCTGCCAAAAAAGCCCAATCATTGCCAAACCTCAAAGGCCTCCAAGTACACAGTGGCCAGAGCCCACTCGAAAAGATGACTTCACCAGCATAGGGTAGAGCCAAGAACCAAAATACTTTGTCTTCTGCTGTTTATTTTAAAATCATGATTATGTGTTCCCTCTTCTTTCAGGGACATCAAACATGTAGTAACATTGTACAGGGACTTCTGGAGGCCTGGCCATCGGCACGAGCATAGAGGAGATGTCAGGCAGGTGCTGGGAACAGTGTATCCTCGGCAGATGTTCAAAGGGCTGACCACACTTGGCTAGCCTTGCTATCCAAAAAGTGTGTCTAGTCTCAAGGCCATGGCCACCTGGGAACGGTCATGCAGCACATGGTTCCCCACCCCCAAGAACACTGCTTCACCTGCTGCCTCCTCAAGAGGAAGCTGGCAAAGGTCAAGAGGGGGAAGCAGACCTTCTCTGACCTCTCATGCTCTTCCAGACCTACACTTCTTCACCCTGTTCGTGCAAATCCTGGCTCTTTAGAGGCTCATACTGTCAAGAAATACTACCCACGACCATTCCATATCACTGCTGTCTGCCAACCTCCTGGACATTCTCTTCATTCATTAAAAACTCCAGGATCTGGCTAACAATTATCTCTACCAACCAAAGTCCCTGGGTGACCTCAACAGTTCCAAGAATGACCTAGACAGCACCGGGCTTCTTCTACTTCTTTTAGCCTCTCATCAGCAGCGATCTCCACCTCCTCCTCACTGTAACTGTCATTCCTGTTGTTACACCCTAGGCTTTGTCTTTATCTGTACTTTTCTACATCCAAAATCTTAAATTCAGTCACCCTAGTTTCCAACCACAGCCTCTCATCCCTCCAGCTCACTCACCTGAATGCATTCTCACTATATAAATATGCTCCTCCTTTGTGAATTCTTCCACCTCACAGGCACCACCAGCCCTGATTTCTTTCTTTCTCCCTCTCTCCCTTCCTTCCTTCTAAGTCTTTACTTTTTGCCCCACCCACCCGAGATTCCAGGGTTTTCTTCTGATTAAAAGATTAAATATTGAAGTTAAATCAGACCCATATACTCTTAAATAGCCCACACATAATGCAACTTAATCCTTCTCATCAATATTCTCAGATCAAACCCTTGTCCCCTTGATGTCCCTCTGCAACCATCTCACAAAACTGCAACCCAGGATCATTTGGACTCTCCAGTTCCATATGCCTAAATCAGGTGGCTAAATCCTACTGAAGAAATTAACTCACCCCTAGGTTTGGAGTCACTACAAATGCCTGGTCACCAGCTTATTCCACACTGCTTTCATTTTCCCGAGGAGCTAGTGCAAATGTTCTCCACTCTCAAATCCTTGACTCTGTCCCCACGCTCTTTCAGCTCTCAGTCCCAGGAGACAAACTCATCCCCACTTTACAGAAATGATGGCAGCCACTGGATGAGACACTTGTCAGCAGCTTACCAGCAAGCCTACCAGTTGTCCCCTCTGCCCCCTTCCTTTCTCACTTCTGCTAAAAGTGGAGAAAGTTTCTTTTTTATTTTTTTGCCTGAGGCTAATCCTTCCTTGTGTTCTTTCTCCTATCACTTTCACCTTCAGTGTCTCATCTCTTGATCATGGGCTGTCTCTAGCTCCTCTGTCTTGGTATTGGCTCTTTGCCATCAATGCTTAAACGTGCTCCAGTCTGCCCCGACTTTAAGCAAACAAAAACAAAGCAGCCTTCCTCTTCCCCAGATTCCACCCCAAACCTCCTCAAACTCATTTCTTCAGTTCATAGCCAGACATTGTTAACATTTTTTATTCTAGAATAAAACACAGATACAGAAAACCAGTAGAAATGTATAGCTGAATGAACAACCTTGTCAACGTGTTCAAAAAATTGCATTTTTCCAGTTAGAAGCCCCTGGTGCTCCATTCCAATCATAACTTCGCCTTCCCCAAGAAGGAACCACTCTTCCGATGTTCAGAGTGGTCACTTTCTTGTGTGTTTTTGTAGCTACACCACCAAAAGTGCATCCATAGGCACTACAGTTTACTCTTGCCCATTGCTTATTTGATATATCCTGTAAGTATTTATTATCTACATGTTTCTTCATGATCCCTTTTTTTTAACAGTGTATTGGTAAAAGAACCATCATGTGAACTGTAGGGTTTCTCATGGTCTCTGGATTTGGCTGATTGAACACTCATGTTGCACTCGTGTTCTTCTGTGTTCCTGTAAATTGGTGACCTGTAGGGTTTCTCATGGTCTCTGGATTTGGTTGATTGAACATTCATGTTGCACTCGTGTTCTTCTGTGTTCCTGTAAATTGGTAGCTGAGTCTAGTGGCTTGATCAGACTCAGATTTGATCCATTTAGCAAGACTATAGGTGATGGTGTTTCTTTCATCAGGAAGCATTTAATGTCTGGTTGACTTTGTGCCATGTTTGTACCCAAGAATGTTCAATGCCTCCTAATCCTGTTATGTTCTTTTCTAGCTTGAATATTTCTAGAAAAGATGCCTCCTCTCTCATAATTTGGTTACATGGTGGTACACAGTTGGTATAGAAAAGGCAGAATAAATGCTTGGTTCTTTCCTTATCTTTATCCAGTTGTCAAGATAATCAATTTGTTTCTTATCCTTCCAATGTGGCCAAGTAGTTTTGGGTTTTTTTTTTTTTTAAGTATTATTGTAAACTCATGGATTCCTATGTTTTGCCAGTAGAAGCCTCTTCAAATTGGCTCCTGGCCCCTTTAACACAGACCCCTTGGTCTTCGACAGCTTCCTTACTATCTGGTATGACAAGACATTCCAGATTTATCTCATGTTTACTGTTCCAGACCCAGAATTAGCCATTTCTCCTAGAAGCCTTGATTTGTTTTAATGGAAAACAAGTTTTCAAGACCACAATCTTCATGATAGGGATTGCTCATGGCTACTTAGTCAGACTTCCTAAAATGGTTATCTTCACTTCCCAATTCCCATCTACTCCTTAGGCCATCCAACTTAACTTCTGCCACCACCACTTCCTTGAAAATATTCTTATCAATTGCTAAATGATATTGGCACTTCTGAGACTCCATCCACAACTGACATAATCAACCACTCCTTTCTTCTCAAAACACTTAGGAACATTTATTTCTATGACACCATCATCTTCTCATTTTCCTCCTTTTCAAATTTTTTTCTTTTTCATTTTATCTTTTTCTTTTCCTATTTGTTTTCATTTTCCACCTTTTCAAGTGCTCCTTCTCATTCTCCATTGTGACCTGTTTATCCTCTGCCAAGCTCTTAAGTGCTGTGGCCTTGAGATGATTAAGGGTGTCTTAAGACTTTCTTCTTCTTATCAGAACCCCCCTCTCTGATCTATACCACCTACTCCATGGCTGAAATTAACTTATATGTTGATAATTCTCAAGTCAATATCTCCTGTTAAGATCTCTCCTCAAATAGAAGACCAGCTATCCAGCTCTTCACTCAGATGTCCCACCTGAGATTTCCAGATACCCATCACATCCCCAAGTCTCTAGCGTGCTCCTGATGCAATGATTCGGATCTCAGTAATTGGTGCCTCTGTCTACCCGGTTGCCCGAATCTGATTCTGGGTAGTCATCTTTAACTCATTCTTTCCCTTCACCCCCGCAATCCAATCAAAAACTGAAAGCAACTCCCTCCGTGGTCCCTCCTAGCTGTCTAGCATCCGCCCCCTTCTCTCCACCCACACCACCCTTACCCCAGCTCATGCTGCCTTCATCCTGCTCATCTCAGCCACATCCTCCCATGTGGCCTCCCTGCCTCTGGTGTGGCCCCTCCAGTCGATTCTCTACACCACAGCCAGAGCAATCTTCCTGAAACACCAACTAGATCATGTCATTCTACTGTTTAAAACAATGCTCTTAGCATAAAGCCCAAAATTTTTTGTAAGATGATTTTTACAAAGCCCAGCATGATCTGGTTCTTGCTTGCTTCTACATCCTCTCCTCTGATAATCGTCACTTTTCACTACCCATAACTCACTCCAAGATCCAGCTTAATGAACTTTGATCACTTTAAATGGAACCATTGTTTCCTCCAGGAAGCCTCCCCTGCGCCCCCAAGTTTGAATCTGATGCTTCTTTCAACACTAATTTGTGGCTTCAAAATTCCCAGTCCATTTATCTGCATTCCTCACTCCCCCTACTAGAGCAGAGTTTCTCCTTCTTGACAAAACTCATGCCACAGCTGCCTTATCAATTGCCAACTCAGGGACCCCTTCCTCTGGGTCCACCATGTATACCTCTGAATGCCAAGGTTCTATACTTAGAAGATCCTTCACATTCAGCAGACTTTCCTTAGCCAGAGACAGGCTGCCTATACTGGAAAGATGTTCTAAAAACATCAAGTCTGACCCTCCCATTTTACAGAGGAGGAAACTGAGGCCCCAAGAAGGGGCCTTTCAAAACCCCCTCAGAGAAGTCGTGGTTGAGACAATACAAGAATCCAGGTCCATTCAAGGGATTTTGCCTTCTACCAGCAAGCCCATAAGAGCTGCTCCAGGAGGCCTTATGGAAAGGAATGGGCCATTACAGCTTCCTTAGTTCAAAATAATCTAAAGCCATATTGTTGCAGAAATCTTACAAAACTACAGCTGCTGACCCTAACTGGGGTCTACTTTGCTCAGTGTTGGGACTAAATCAAAAGGCATAGCCCAGTCCAGAAGACAGACTGGCCTAGCCAGTTCTAAAGGGACATGAAGCCTCCCCCCTACCCCCCATGGTGACCAAGGGACTCCTCTAATCAATCAGGTGGCACAGACAGAAACACAGATGTAGTCACAGGAGCCAGGTGGATCTTGTTGTGGCCAAAGATGCTGGATCAGCCTAACAGAAGGTAGAACAAACAACTGAAGTGGCAGAGAGATCACAAGTTTAGGTCCCTGACATGGCACAGTCCAGACCAGATTCCCCTGCTAACTGCTTGACCTCCCCTAGGTCAAGCCAGAACAGGGGCTAGATGACAAAGAACAGATTGTGGCTTGTCTGTGAAATCTGTAGACCATCACAGACCACACTTAGAGAAGCAAGCATTCTCCTTGTCCCACAGAGCTGGAGAAAGCCTGGGTTCTTGGGTCAGATTCCCCAAAATAGGCCCTGAAATGAGAGTTTGCATTCAAGTGATTTCTTAAGGAAGTCTAACTGGGAGAAACTGGTAAGAACAGAGAAGGAAAGAAAGAAAGTGAGTTTGATCGTAGGCAGAGACCCACAGAGGACACTCTGAGTCCGATCCTGCTGTAAGACTCCTCAGGATTGACAAACCTTCAGCAAAGGCTTTCATAACCCCTCCCCTCACAGTCACTGGTCCAGGGGAGAGGTAACTGCCCACTCATTTCTGGCTTCTATGCAAAGTAAAGCAGCACCAGTAGCCCAAGGGTATGAGGGAAGTCCTTCAAAGAAGAGCTGCAGGCTCCAAGTGCTGGGGATTGGAAGCAAGAGCATACCCAAGACAGCGGTGCACAAAATGGACAGGGCCAAGGGGAGTGGTGGTGCACTGTCATTGCATCAAATAACAGCATAACATCATAGGGTGACCCAACTAAAGCCAAGCTGGAATTCACAGTCTTTCTGGCCACATGAGTAGAAGTCTGGTCATTGCTCTTGGAATCTGTTTAAATGAGCTGGTATACACGGAAGCTTTTTAGGAGTGAAGGGATGCAGAGACTCCTGGGGAGACAGATAGTGTAAGGAGGGGAATGGGAACCATACCAGGGAATGGTATGGTGACTGTCTCTCCCTCCAGCCCAAGACAGGGGTTCTGGATCTCTGTCACTTGTAGCCAGAGTTCTAAGTAACACACTTTATCAGTTTGCTAGGAGGGGTATAATGAGCGAATGGATGAAAAAAGTCTTCATAAATAACAAATGTTGTATTACTTCCAAGTCACATTTGATGGTCTGGAAAAAACACTGAAGGGTACACATAATGGTCACTCAGTGAATATCTATTAAATGAATGAATCAAACTGGCTGAAGGAGGAGGAGGAAGAAGAAAAAAAGGGAGAAGAAGAGGAAAAAGGAGGGAAGGAAAGAAGAATAAGAGTGGGTAAGAGGAAAAAGAAGGAAGGGAAGGGAAGGGAAGGAAAGGGAAGGGAAAGGAAAGGAAGGGAAGGAGGGAGGGGAGGGGAGGGGAAAGGGAGGAGAAGGAGAAACCCACACACAGAACTCACTGTATCTGAAAATTCTAGGGATAGGTCTAAATTCAGGCATGGCTGATTCAGGCCCTCAGAAGCTGTGGACAGGACCGTATCTCTCACCAAACTTTGGCGCTGCTTGTCTCTGTGTCGCCTTCATTCTCAGGCTCTGTCTGAAGTAGCAATGCTTCCACCAGTGGCTCTCAGTGAACATCCTACCAGCTTAGCACCCTCATGGCCCTTTCCTCATAGCTCCAATAGAAGTTCCATGATTGATTCTGATTCACTGACTTGAGCCATCTGCCCATTCTTGAACCAATTACTGTGACCAGGGAGATGGAATAAGCAGATCGGCCAGCCCTGGGTCACACGTTCACTCTGGAGCAGCTTACAGGTGGGTGGGGGTCGGTTGCTGGTCCCACCTGAACTGCATGAAATGAGCATGGGGGAAGGGGATTTCGCCCAAAGGAGAGCTGGGGTGCTGCTTGTTGAAGTAGAAAAACGAGGTGCTGGACATGCAAAAATCACAGTCTCCTACGTTCCTGTGTGATACCAAGACTGCTTCTGCAGCAGAAAAGGCAGAAAGAAGGGTGGGCCCTTAACTTCCATAAGCGATGCACTCTTAGATGTCTATGAACTATAGAGTCAAGGAAATTCAAATGTTTGTACCAGATCCAGGCTTTCTCTTGAATCACAGGTAACTGTTTTTCCAACTTCCATTAGTTTTCTCTCATTTGGGGAGCCATTTTGAACCATTAGAGAAGCTGTTAAAATGGTTTCAGGAGATGCCTGGTGTTTTCTTATAGAACTCCTGGTAAATTCATTTACACCATTGGAGTGAGTCCCTGCTGAATTCAACATTCCTTCTTCTAATTTGTCCAAAACTTCAAACGCTCATTTTCTTAACCCACCCAGTTTCTCTATACATCTATCTCCAGCAATAGTTTTTGGCATTCTTTAATGGTCATTCCTTTTCCCACTGGAACCAAGTGTTGAATCACCTCATAGCAGTTACAGTGTCCATGACGATGAACAGAGAATGTGAAAGTGGCTCTGAGGTGTGGGCAGCTTGCTGAGTGCTAAAGGTCTCTGAGAGAGACTCCTGTGGCCTTTGCCTCTGAGGATCTACTCACCCTTCTGCTGATAAATGTATTCTCTCCTCCACTCTTAGATCCTAGGTTTTGGTGGAGCTTCTCACCATAATTAGGGCTGGAGCCTATAATGTAAGCCTAAAAACCAACTAGATTATCACAGCTCCCCAGTCACAACAATTAATTTGGGACTCAGTCAGAAATAATGAGAGGCAATGAGACACTGGCAGAATTTTCTGGGAAAGAGACCGCTGCTATTAATATTTCCTGCTGGACTTGAATCTGAGGGAATATCAGGTTGGGAGCTAAGGCTGCCATTTAGTACCCTGAGAGACGGATCTGGCCTCCAAATGGAGTCAATCCAGAGGAAGTGGAGTTGAAGGTGAGGAAGAGGGAGAGACGAGAGAGAGGCTAGACCCTGGTGACATTGACTGAGTGAAGTGCCACCTGAAACCAGCCCAACCTCTGCCTTTTAAGAGAAGTGAGTTGATAAGTTCTCTTTTTGCTTACCCTGGTTTGTGCTGGGATTTCTCTCCCTGGAGAGCAAAAGTTACCAAGTAGATGCAACCCTATTGTATTTCAATACCCTCTCAGTCCCCACCAGCCCATGGGTTGACATCTGGTCACATTAACAACAGCACAATGGAGGCTCTTAGCTTCCATGCACTGCACATGGACTCAGCACCCCTCCAAGTCTCTCTCTCTTATTTCTTAGTGAAGATTTCACCAGTGGGTGTCTTATATGTTCAGGAACAATTTTGGTCATGTTCTTTCCTGACATTCTCTTATAAAATGACTGTGGCCAGAGGAGTGGGATGAGACCACTGACCTCATTCTGATCATGAGCAGGGCTGGGAGGAGAGTGAGTACAGCTGGCAGCCTCCATGAGGAGCACTCAATTCACATGGAGGAGAGGCCATCCATGGAGAAGAAGGGAGCACTATTGCCAGAAGAACAGAGAAGAGCGAGCTAAACACACAAACAAGGGGGCCCGCCATGGGTAGAAGGGCAAGAAGTGCTGAGACCACCCACTGATGAGGACAGGAAGGCCTGGGGGAGGGAACACATGTGCCAGTGGTCACTGGGTGAGAAGGTAGTGGGGCTCAGACTCAAGCCCAGGGGACCAGGGTGCTCCCCCTGCTCACCCATGCCTTTGCTGGAGAGCCATGAACAGTTTAGCAAGGGTCAGGAATGTGTGAAAGTTCACACTGCCAGTTCTGCCCAATCCACAGTCAAGTTCAAGTGTATTCCTGGATGGGGAGCAAAGGCAAGATCTGTCTGACAACACCAATTTCCCCCAACCTGAGTGCCAGCCCCCAAGGCTCCCTGCAATATAAACTGCCATGGAACACTGGCCTTAGACCCCTGCAGGCTTCCTACCCTCAGAAACAGCCATTCTATGGAATTACAATGTGGGGCAGGCTTGATCCAAACACTCCTGACTCACTGCATTGCAGCCATGCCCTGTGGGCTCTGATCACACAATTCTCTCACTCTTGATGAGCTTATTCCCCTGCTCCTTCATACTTTCCTCTCTCCCATCATCCCGGAATTCCCTTGCTCATTTCTATAATCTAAAGTCTTTCCTCTTCTTTCTCTAAGATTTTTCTTCTTCAAACCCCACCCCAACGTTCAAATCTGAGACTTCTCAATAGAAAGAACCCCAAATTGGAAGCAGGAGGCATGGGCGAAGGAGCCAACCCTGGTGCTGCCTCCTTGGATGACCTTGAGCCAATTCCCACACCTCTCTGGGCTCCAGCTTGCTCTTTCCAAGGCATTGCAGGCAAACGCTGGGATTCCCCATGTCATCTGGCCCACTATGAGCACAAAAGATGCCCCGTCTTCCACCACCCCTGACCCCAAGCCTCTGTCCCTCACACCAGGGCTGCCTTCTGTCCCCAGGTTAGACCTGAATGATGGGAAGAGATGTTCTTGCCCCTGGAGACCGGGCAATCCAGGGCTGTTTCTGTTTTAAAAATAAACCATATGATTCTTTCGGATTTGGGGGTTGAAGAGCAAAAAGAAAGAGGATATAAGAGAAGCTTCAGGGGTGATTGCCAAAAATGTTTCCCACCCACCAATTTCTTAAACTAGGAGCATCTCAAGGGGGAGCTGACCACATGGTCTTGATTTACTAAAACTTCACTCATTAGGCTGGTATCCTTTCAAGCATATTGGACAGCTAACAGGCGAGAAGCTTTTCAAAGCCCCTTCCCCTCCATACTGGGGCTGGCAGGGGGCCAGGAGGGAGGCCCCAGAGCAGAAGCACTTGTGCAGCCACCCCCAGGGCGCTGTTCCTGCTGGGTTACAATCTCCCCACTGAACCAGAAGAAAGCTCTACTGAGGATCACACATGGCACAGATGTGGTCACACATGGCTCCAAAGTCCGAACGGAAGTCTTGGCACTGGACCCAGGTGTGATGGACACATGTGTGCCCAAGGGTATAGATAAGAATATGGGCAGGACCACACACAACCAGCCCCCTATGGGTGTCATCTCCCCACACAGGCACACATGTGCTCACACACACACACACACACACACACACACATACACACACAGAGGCAATGGTCCCCGCATGCTGGAGAGGCACATCCAGAGAGCTCAGTCTCTGCCTACAGCTAGAACATCTTGGACTTCCAAACTCCTTGTAAATTAGATGTTGAATCTGTGCACAGGCTCTTGCTACACACACTGAAAGACAGCAAAAGCATAAACCCACTGGAATCTAGCACCAAAATGTATTTTCCACCAAAGGATCTTCATAAGAATATTCTTTTCTATGAGCTGATGAGAGGCCATATTTCCTGAGTTCTGGCAGAGACCTGCCTGAGTATATCTTCTGTCCCATCCACGAGTGTCTGCACCCCACATATCCAGCCTAGCACAATTCCACTCACAGGCTGCAAATCAGCACATCAGCTCTGTCCTGGGGACACAGCCTCGCTGGCAGAGGATTCCTAGGGCTCTGTGGGGCTCAGTCTATACCCAACACTGTGAACACCAAAGGGTAAGCCAACCAAGGCATTCCCCAGAGACACCTTGCTTAGGGAGGTGGCGCAGTGCCAACAGGGAAGCTGAAGTTCTTTTCCTGATTGGGAAACATGCTGATGGTGACAGCAGAAAGAGTCAAACCCAGCAACTGATTGTTTCCCAGGCAAGAAGCTCCAGAATATGCTGCTGTCCAGTCGGAAAGGGCTTGCTGCCTCCCTAAACACCTTCCAGCTACATTCACTCTCAGAAAAACTCAGGGGTGAGATTCATGGATGATGGCTCTGAAAAGGGTGTGGTCCAATATGAGTTTCCAAATGGGAAGCAGAGGCTCAGAGAGGAGAAGGCAGTCCTGTTCAAAGCAGTGCAGAGCTGGGCCATGAAGCCAGGCTAGTCCAGCAACTGAGAGCACAGGCTTTCAGGACACGTAGTCCTGAGGTCAATTCAAACTCCACTGTAGCCAGGAGTTAACACCTACTTATCTAGGACTAGAATTCTTATTGACAAGAACACCACTAACTCATGGAGTTAAGTGAGAATTAAATGAGACACTACATAAAAGAAGCCAGTATGCAGTAGGAGCATAATAAATGCTGATCTCTTCCCCTTCTCATTCCCACATTCTTCCACCAATCTGAGCACAGCTTTGGCTGCTTTTTGAGTTCTTGACTAGTTGATGCTTTAAAGATCTGGTCCACAACCCAAATGTCCATCAATGATACAATGGATTAAGAAAATGTGGCACATATACACCACGGAATACTATGCAGCCATAAAAAAGGATGAGTTCATCTCCTTTGTAGGGACATGGATGAAGCTGGAAACCATCATTCTGAGCAAACTATCGCAAGGACAGAAAACCAAACACCGCATGTTCTTATTCATAGGTGGGAATTTTACAATGAGAACACTTGGACACAGGAAGGGGAACATCACACACTGGGGCCTGTTGTGGGGTGGGGGAGGGGGGAGGGATAGCATTAGGAGATATACCTAATGTAAATGATGAGTTAATGGGTGCAGCACACCAACATGCCACATGTATACATATGTAACAAACCTGCACGTTGTGCACATGTACCCTAGAACTTAAAGTATAATAATAACAATAAAAAAAGATCTGGTCCAAACTGAAAAGCTGGCTCCAAAGGATGGAAGCACAGCAGCTCAGCCCCTTCTGAACCAAGGCCAGGTAGAGCCCAACATTCCCAGGACTGCAGGAAGACTCATGACCACCAGGTAGAGCCCAGAGCCTATTTCTCTCTCCCTCTTGCACTCTGATCCTGAAAGAACGGTGGTATCAAGACTGGAGACTCCTCCTCATTTGGTCGCTTTGGTGGCCCTCCCTAAATAGAGGAAGAGGCATCCTGATTCACAGCATCATGCAGTCCCAGGTGTGGCTGAGGGGCTGGCAGACCCCTTTCTGGCTGCAGATCCTGAAGGGCTCTATGGGGGCAGGGGAGCACACAGGCTCTGTGGTCCCAGAAGGCAAGCCAGGACCCAAGCAGTACAGGCTATTGTCAGGTTACAGGGGCATCATACTGCCAAATCTGCACTGCTTCTCAGGTTGCAAGATGCTTCCATGTCTATCTTCTTAGCTCAGGCTGTGGTGGGACATTTCAAAAGGCGGTGACTCCAAGATAAATCCTAGCAGAGGATGACCACCCGCCTACGACCACATTAAGAATTCCTCTAGTAGGTAAAGGTAGGAGGTGGCTTGGAGATCCCTCCCAGACCCAAGTGTCTGTGAGACCATCAGAGCCTTAGAGTCCAACTCTATCAAAAGTTTAGGGCACTAAATGGATAACCCCAAAGATCACATAAGAGGCTAGTTACTTCTGTGGAGTTCAGAAAAGACACCTACTTTCTTTCAGTCAGTTGTGTCCAACAATTTAGCTGCTACAACCCAGGTAGCAAAAGTCAAGCTAAAATTCCAGGCTGCCTTCCCCAACCCAGAAATTGAAAACAAACTTGCAAAATGTGAGCCCAGCAGAGCAAGATCTACAGCACTGACCCAGTGAGGAAACTAGGCCACCCAATGGGGGGTTACCTGCGATTGGCGCCTGAAAGTGAAGCATTCCAGGCTGAGCCTCCCGGGACACACACATCTCTGTCCGCTCAGTCTCCACACCATTAACAAGCGGAGATTTCCCTAGGCTGATCCTCGCCAGGTTCATTGGGCAGAAGGAAGTCGGCTTTCCAAAGACAAAGAAAGTCACTTCGCCCGGGAACTTGACATAGCCAAAGTGGGCCATCTTTCTTCTCTAGATTTTAAGACCTTTATGGCAGGGCTAGGGAGGTATATATAAAGAGGTCAAGGCTGGGTGTGGTGGCTCATACTTGTAATCTCAGCACTCTGGGAGGCCAAGGCAGGAGGATCACTTGAGTCTAGGAGTTTGCGTCTGCAGTAAGCTGTAACGCCACTGCACTCCAGCCTTGGCAACAGAGCAAGACCTTTTCTCTATTAAAAGAGGGATAGGTCACAGGGTGAGAATGGACACTCAGGGTCATTCTAGTCCAAGGCCCCATCTAGCACTTTGATGCTTGGGCCTCTCTGCAGCAGGAACAGAGACCACAGAATTGACTCTGCCAGTGACCAGGACTCATGAATGATTGCAATTCAGAAATGTTCTTCCATTGTGTTGAAATCTGCCTTTCATTTTCCCCCACCATATCTTCATTTACTCACAAATATTAATCATCTAAGCAAACATGGCGCCTGCCCAATCAGTCTAGAATTTTAATAGAACAACTATGGCCTCCTGAATCCCCAACTACCTGTACCTCCCTCTGTCCCTCTACTTCATCTCTTTTGGTTTCTCCTGCTGTGGAATGGCTTGGCAGGACTCTGTAGAAGAGTTGGGAGACCTTGAGAACACACCCCAAAGTGTTTGGTCATGAGACATTTGAGGACCAGGGCCCTGCCAGCTCACAGCTGCCCGAGGTCAATGAAGGGATGACCTGAAGAGAATAGGGCCTGAATTGGGTCTCCCAAGGGCCTGAACAAGCCCACTTGGCTGAGAAGGGAAAGCTCAGGGAATGGAGGTCATCACATTGTCAACAACTAGTGTTTCAACGACACGGGAGAGAAAGGAAGCTCCCATGAAGACATTAGTCCGTCTCCTTCCTTCGTTCTTGGGTCTTAAGGGAGCTCTGGTGCCATTTGGGATTTATTTTGTTTTGCTCAGGTAGGGATGGGGGAAGAATCAAATTGCCATATATTGTGATGTCCTTACACGTGACCACGCTGGTTTTCAAACGATGTTTGATGAAGCTCTGGGGAGTGCACAGAGCCCTTTAAGGGATGCTGGGGAGAGGAGCCTAGGGACAAGGTAAGCTACAGCCAGAGGCATCAGTGTCTTCTCCGTGCCCCTGTCCTATCAGAACAGCAGCTCTGAGTTTATCTGTACTATATGTGAGGCTTTTTGTTTGAAGAAAGTCCTCCGTGGATCTTTTCAGATGCCCTTGCTTTTTAAAACAGAAAATTTTTAAAGGACCTGAATTTCTGAATTGCAATCATTTCTGAATCATTTCTGAATTGCAATCATTCATGAGTCCTGGTCACTGGCAGTGTCAATTTCGTGGTCTCTGCTCCTGCTGCAGAGAGGCCCAAGCATGGGCCATGGAATGGGTTGGTGCTGTCTCCTGACCTTCCCACCAGAGTTCTTTTCATCTAATTCAGCAAAGCTCAAGGATCCCTTAAGGGTAAAAGGTGCTACACAAGAATCCTGAAAGAAGTGGAGGGCGAAAATGAATGGCAATTATTTCCTAATTGTGAACCATAAGATATGCAAATAGAGGGGCTTTTCCACAGTTGGAAACCACACAGTCCAGGCTTGGCCAGGACACCTGAGACCTGGGCAGGTACCTCTGCTGGATTGTTCCCAGGATGACTGATGACCCGACATCCTCAAGCCCAGCTTCAGGGCCCACTACAAGGCCCTACTACTGCTTCACTGCCCCAAGCCCACCTGTGGAATTGAACATAGAGTTTATCCTAAACGGAGTCACCTGGATCAGGTATGGAATCCTTCAACGATCCCAGGCCGGAAAGCCCTGGGCAGGGCCCCAGGTAGTGGCTGAGTCAGTGTGAGGAGGCATAGTGTCAGCGTCTAGCAAGTGCTCAAATCAATCATGAATAATTTTCTGGAAGCAGCTGAAGGCCGAACATATTCTTCAGCCATCAGATGTGGACTGTACGTTGTTTTTAAACTTATTTCGTTTTCTCTTTTGCCAAAAAAAGGGGGGAAAAAAAAAGACACAAGTTTTGGACCATGAAAACAACCCTGCTCCCTCTGCTCTGCAGCGCCTGGGCTTTTATTGGTGTTTTGTCTGCAATGGGCTTTGGCCACGTAAATGTGAACAAAATGAGGTAACTCACAAATCCTCTGGCTGCCTCATGGCTGAAGGCTAGTGCCTCTGAGAGTCAGCAGAAATAGACAGGCAGACAGGCGAGCACCCCAAACAAGTGGCTATGAGCCGGCAGCCAGCATGTTCCCCAAACCAGGGGGGTCAGACCAGGGGTCTGGAATGCAGTGGCTTGGGAAAGTGGGACAAGATCACCATCACTATTAGGATGAGGGACTTGCCTCACGGGCACCGTGGCTGTAGGCACTGGGTGTCTCTTGTGAACTACCCTGTCCCCTCCCAGCCACCAACTACCCCCACCATGCTGAGATGCCCTCTGCTCTGCCCTATCCTAACCCACCCCCATCATCTATTAGGAACACATGTTGGTGGGGGAGACTAGTTGGGGCTAAGGACAGGACCAGCTACATCACTGAAGTGACCCAATGCAAGATGAAAATGTGGGTCTTCTTGTTCACAACTTACTCAGAATTTCAAAATGGCAAAAGTCCCAACCTCTTTCAAGCATGGATGCCCAAGAAGTCAGGGGAGCAAGACAGAGACACGGGCAGGAGTGGGAACATCACGTAGGGTCTCTGTGATCAGGGCTGAGTAACAGCACTCTGTTCCTGAAATGCCCTCAGGCAAAGCAATAGTTCTGAGAGAAGTTCCACTTAGGAAAAGACTTTCTCAAGCTCATGATGCAGTGAGTAGCACAGATGCACCTCCCAGGTGAGGCCAGCCCTCATCCCATGCCGGCAGGGCCACCGGGGATGCTGCAGCCATGAGCTCAGCCCTCTGGTGGCCAGGGAAGTCCAGGCGTGAGCTTCAGACCCAGCGCCCCTCACCCAGCTGCTGCGGCTACCCACAGAGGGTGAGAACAATGGGTCATCCTTACATGCCCAGGCAGGTCAGCACCAGGCAGCCTGTCCCCTCCCAGCCACCAACTACCCCCACCATGCAGCCTCCAAGGAGGCACCAGGGCATCTCAGCAGCACAGGCTCAGTGCTGCAGGAAGGGCAGAGGTAGGTCACAGGCTGGGAAGGCCATTAATGACTCAGGTACCCTATAAGCACCGGGTTTCTGGGAAGCTGTCCCCCTGTGGCCTGACACCAATCCCTCCAAACCCTGCCTCCTCCCCTCCTTTGTCCAAAGAGGCAACATGAAGTCGGGCAAAAAAGTCTGATCTCAGCCACATCACTGACCCACTGTGTGATCCTCGAAAGACACCCGTCTCAGAGACTATTTCTTCTAAAGTAAAACCCAAAGTTGGGTTATATGATGGCAAAGGCACTGCTGGTTCCAACACCACGATTCTTCCTAAGAGAACAAGTTATGTTGGCTTTCAGGGATCGAAGTTCAAGTCCTCTTGATAACACATGAAGGGATGAGGATGCATCACTTTACCTCCTTCCTGGCGTTTCTGGAGTCAACCTCCTTGTGAGATCCTAGGGCCTCTCTGCCCAGCCACAGGTCAATGGGAGCATCACACCACTGTGGTTTAATCTCACATTGTGGGAGCTGCCCCAGTCCAGGACTTGGCCGCGGAAGCAGCCAGCAACCCATTGTCCAGCTGGCAACGTGTGGGATCTCACACAAAGGCTATGTGGAAATTGCCCATAAAATCACTCTCTTGCTCCCCACCCAGCTCTCATGGACCCCACAGAACAATTTATAAAGCCCACGTGGAAAAGACTTCATCCACAGCCAACTCCCCACAGGCCCCAGGCTGGAACAGGCTCCAGCCCAGAGGGGCTGCTTCACTGCTGGGCGGGCCCCCCTGTGCAGGCCGGAGTGGCACAGCCTGAGAACAAAGACTTGGCAGAAGTGTAATGCCCCCAAAGCCATTTATCACCAATCGCCACCCCCGTCACAGAGCCAAGAGTGATATGATCATACAGTATTTCATAAATTGTGTCCAAATATCTATGATATTATACAAAGTGATGCCTCTATAGAATTAAAAAGTCAAATAGCATAGAAAGTTGTACAATGAAGAGAAAAATCCACCACCTAACATCAAAAGACTTATCTAAGAGAAGGTTGAGTCCCCACTCTACTGCTGGAGGAAAGGTGGTGTGACTTGTCCAGGGTCACTCAGCTGATCTGCAATGGAGCTCAGGGTCTCTGACTACCCAAGGCAACTGTTCCCAGTGGACAGCATTTAGTATGCTCTGTGTCCTGGTGCTGGGAGATCCAAAGTGTCCCCGGCCTGCTCCTGAACCCCACACAAGCCTGGAGGCATGGCCCACACTGAAGAAAAATGGAAGCCAGGTCCCGTGGGTCACACCTATGGTCCTAGCATTTTGGGATGCCTAGATAGGAGGATTGCTTGAGCCCAAGAGTTTGAGACCAGCCAGGGAAATATAGAAAGACTCTGTCTTTACAAAAAAAAAATAATAATAATAATAACTAAGTGTAATGGCACAAGCCTGTAGTCCCAGCTACACAGGAGGCTAGCATGGGAGGATCGCCTGAGCCCAGGAGTTCAAGGCTGCAGTGAAGTATGATCATGCCACTGCACTCCAGCCTGGGTGACAGAGAGAGACCCTGTCTCTATTTAAAAAAACAAAAAGGAGAAAGAAACATGGAAAAGAGGTGAGTTTTGGTTTTGGCCCTTATTTTGCACCTGCGGGGCCTGGTGTCTGACACCACATCCACCAATAGGTTCTTTGCTCCACGTGGAGCTCGCTTCACTTTGCCCAAGTATATCATTCCCGCTGAGCCCTCTGCAAGCTTTCCCAGTGAAGCCCTATTTGAAACTCTTTCATTCATCCCTAAAGCTCTTAAGCTACGGAACCCAGGTCTGGGCACCCTATCGGGCACACTGAACACACATCTGCAGATAACATTTAAGCCCCCAGGATTCTGAGCTAGGGCTGATGCCATGGTGGGGAAAGAAGGGGAGAAAGTTTCCAGTCTGACGTCTGGGAGATGGGGCCCGCCCCTACAATTCAACAAGTTTTGTTGAACAGAGCAGACTCAAGGGCAAAGCACAGCACATTATGGTTGATTGAGTGGAGAAAAAAGAGATGAATACCTCATTTGTGGACAAGATAAAATTGCCACACCACCCGGGCCTGAAGAAAACATCCAGCTGACTATGACAAAGGCAGCCTGGGGACCACCAGGGTCACCACCTGCTGGAGATGCAGAGGCTGCCCCAGCATGGCAGGTGACAGTGTCCTGAAGGCTCACATTCTGAATGAGAACCCTGCGCCATCTGGGCCTGTCCCCAGCCAAAGCTGTGCAATCTGGGACTAGCCCTGGGATCATTTGAACCACCAGAAGCACACACGATTATAGGATAGTGAATTTTAGGAGAGCTCAGAAGAGAAACTTTTATGACCTTAGACAGAATCATAGAGAAGGGGAGAAAGGGTATCTATGACCTAAACTTCTCCATGTCCTAGGCAAGAGGTCTCTCAGCAGCATCCCTGGCAAGCATCCATCCTCACCTACCTTAAACACTCCCTTCACAAGCACTCACTCCCCTGGAAGTCAGCACCTTCTTTAGCTGGAAGGGGTATTCCTTTATTTTTTTTTAATTTAGGTTAAAAACCAGTCTTTTTGGAATTACTGCTGACTGGCTGAAGTCCAGTCCCTTAAAGCAGTTTTTACAACTTTTTCTTCTGTAACATGTAACTGATGACCCACAAATGCATATCCATGGGCACCTGTTCATGCATTCATTCAACAAGTTTTGTTGAACATCTACTAGGTCCAGGCACTAGAGCAGAGTAGAACAGAAAAGAGACAAAAACTCCTGCTTCCTGAACGCTATATTTATTATTGTTTATAACACTAGTAAGTAAAATATACAGCATATCAGGTAGAGATAAGTTTAAATATAAATAAAGCAGGGACAAGACAGGGGAGTACTTGGGATACCTGTTTCTATAGAGCAGGCTGGAAGATCTCATTAGCAAAGGCCTGAAAGGGGAGGGAGACAGCAAGCCATGCAGACATCAGGAAGAAGGGCAAGCCAAGCAGCGGGAGCAGTAAGTGCAAAGGCCCCAAGGCAGCAAAGCTGGGCACAAATGGAATAGGCTTCAGGTTGGGCACAATTCTATGGAGTCTAGTCACCCTTAGCTCGCCACCCTAGAAAGAGCTGGGAATGCCCGGCAATGAGGAAACATTGCAGAGACGAACCTTGCATCTGCTCCAATTTTTTTATTTTTATTTTTTCAAGATGAAGTTTCACTCTGTTACCCAGGCTGGAGTGCAATGGCGCAATCTCGGCTCGCTGCAACCTCCGCTTCCTGGGTTCAAGTGATTCTCCTGCCTCAGCCTCCTGAGTAGCTGAGATTACAGGCACGCACCACCAGGCCCACCTAATTTTTGTATTTTTAGTAAAAACAGGGTTTCACCATGTTGATCAGGCTGGCCTCAAACTCCTGACCTCAAGTGATCCGCCCATCTTGGCCTCCCAAAGTGCTGGGAGTACAGGCGTGAGCCACTGGCACCCGGCCCTGCATCTGCTCTGACTTCTTAAAATGCATGAGTTATTTATCATTAGCAACAAATTTGCCAGCAACACACCTCACAATGAAGAAAGCTCCCCAATGCATTACCACACGGTGGCCGAGAACAGCTGTCCTAGAGACAAATGCACCCAGCCTCAGCCTGAGGATGTTCTTTGGGGAAGAGGAGAAACACTCAACACCCTGCACTGTCCCCCTTGTCCCCTTCCAGCCCACTCTAGCTTGTCTAGGTCAATCATTCCTCTCCATCCTTTTCTAAATCATGATGTGCAGCCCACAACATGAATGATGGAGAAAAGGCACACCGCACATCCGTTCACACACAACTCGGGTTGCCTTAACCCAGACGCCTGACCTCCATGTTGGGGAGCTGGCGCTCTGGACTGCCCTCCCTCCTTGTAATTCACGTCACCTCCAATACCAGAAACATGTATCATACAGATCTTTTCCCTTTTTTTTAAGATGTTCCCAAGAAAATCTGCGTTTAATTTATGGGCAATTTATAATGGAAATAGACCATATAAAATGTATACAAATGTGTAGGCCTGTCTATAGGGCTTGGAAGGAGACGGTTTAGCTTAGCAATAATTAACGTGAAGGGTCTCTTCCCTGCTGCCAGGTAGACATTTAGACTGCCTGGACTTTCATTAAACTTAAACCAGAAAGGGCTCAAGGGCCAAGGTCCAAACATTCCTCAACTCCATGGAGGACGTCAGGACACGTAGCTGACGACAATACATTTCACCAGGGTTGCCAAAGCCCTGCTTAAGTTGAGAAGATGCCTGCATTGCGTTATCGGACACAGGATGCCAGCCTGTGTACCATAATCAGTTTTCCAGAGAAACAAAGCCATCTCCAATGCCCCAAACCAGCGTGAGGCCACAGGGTTTGCAAAGCAGTCAGCAGAGACACAGGGCACCTCTCTGTCCCCACACCTGGTTCTTCAGGCCTCTAAAGACAGCTGCTGCTCCCAGCACAGGGCCGCCCCGCTTAAGTCAAAGAAGAGTTACGGAGAAACTCAGGGTTGCCAAAAGCTATTTCCAGGGGACTTTGATCATCTGATGCTGTAATCTCTGAAGGGAAACATACTTCATTTAGAAGGTATTCTTTGGTGTCATTCCCAAGGAGAAGGCATACTTGTTTTTGGAATAGCAGAGCACTTACTTTCTCTCTCTCTCGCTTTTACTTGATCTCCCTCCCGCTCTCTCCCAGCCATGAGCATTCTAACTGTGATGGTGCACAAACAACCGTGCTGAACACAGTGAGAAATCATAGAACATGCTGTCGGCCAAAAAAGCATGTTTTTGACAGTGCCCAGTTAGGAGCCAAAATCCTAGATGGCAGCAACACTGAAGCCTAAGGGCCAAAGGCCAGGCTCCAAACTTCCCAGAACTGTTACAGCCCCACCAGCCTCCTGACCTCACTCAGGGTGAGACCCCCATCGTGGGGGAGGTGGAACACCCTAAAACCCAAATGGGTCCCTAGAATCCTCTGAATGCCATGGTGAAGGGTGGTACATTTAAATAAGTTTTTCCTGGCATAGTCAAACACAGTTTAGATCAATTACCTCATTTTTCAACAATGAAAAGATTAAACAGTTGTTAAGGGTTATGAAATGATTTAATATGTTATTAAGCAGAGATGTAAACTATCAAAGTAGAAATTTCCAGAGAGAGACTTAAATATCAATTATATGTGCATCCAATTTGTAGGCAGCTCTTCCCCACACCCCTCCCAGAAGCCCACACCAAGGCCCCTCTGAAGGCAGCTTTGAAAATCCAATTCTGTACTGGTTTCATGAGAATTTTTCATGGCCAGGGGAACCAGGTTCAGAGTGTTCACAACACTTTTTTTCCCCTTGAAATGGAGAACAAAATCAAATTTTAGAGAGATTTTGTGGATATGTATTCCTGCTGAATGATGGGAAAGGATCATTAAGTACCTTATTTGAAACCAGAGTAGGACTCTAACTTTTGAACTTTCACTGGTTTTTACTCATTCACTGCTGGCAACATTTCAAAGGGTAATTTTTTTTTTTTCAAATTACTGTTAAAGGAAAATGAGAAAACAATTCTTTTCTTCATCTGTCTCTTCCCCTCGCAATAACTTTTCAAAATATTGGTTCTTCAGGCTCACTTTACTCCCCAAACAATTTTGCCTAAAAACCTGCAGCCCCTGATATTGACATCTTCTCAATTTGCATAGCACCCGTTTACATAATCAATCAAACAGAGTAAAGCACGCATCCTGTCTGAGTTCACCTCTTGGCCCCTGGACAGGATCCGACAATACAGGCCCCATCACAAGGACAACTCAATAACCCATTTTATCGACTCCAACCGCAAAAGGGAAGTTAAGGTGGACCCCGCTGCGTGGGGAGCTCCAGGTCAGCTTTCATAGAACACAGATGTGCCCCCACTTCCCTGTTCACTCCAACCAGAGGAAATAATGTAAGAACAACATCAGGAAGATAGACTCAGCAACATTCCCATGCAGTAAAACAAGGCTCCCTGCCCCTGCAGGCCTCCAGACCCCATCTCCTTCCATCAGACCCCAGAAGAACAAGTCGGGGAGGGGAGGCGATACTGCCCGGCTCCTGATGAAAGTCTGGGAGCATCAGCTTAAAGAACATTTGGAAAAATGCTTTGCAGAGTAAATATCTCCCAACTTCAAACTACTGCTGCCCAGTGTCCAGGAAACCAGAAAGCCCATATCATGGCATGGTTGGATCACAATTATTAAAAACTGCACACTCCATGCCTTTGACGGGGTAGCCAGAGTCCCCAAATTAACAGCAAATCCAAACAACCCAAGCATGGATTGGCATCTTCAGAACAGCGCTGGAGTCTCTCGTGCCACGTAACACACTGCAATTCCCCACTGGCGGGAGGAGCGTGCCTCCTGTGTCCTCTGCCGCACCGGGACAGCAGCCACCACCACAACACTAGCAGCTTCCAGAGTCCCAGGGCCACACGCGACAGGTGAAGCAAGCCTCTCTGTGAGGATGGCCCTTTGCTCTGCTCAAGGAAGGAAGCGGTGCCTGAGCAGGGAACCTTCCCCATCAGCTGTGCATGCAAGGACTGTCCTCAAGACCCGCTTGTCAGAGCAGTGACTCATCCCCGAGTCTCCAAGAGTGAGGCCGATGGGGCTGGCAGAGGAGTGGCCCTGCGATTTCAAAGTTTCGCCTCCTCTGACCCTCCTTCTCACACTAGGTTCGGCTACAGATGAGGGAGCTCAAAGTTCTGTTCCTTCCGATGTGTGGCTAGTAGGGAGGGTCTCAGAAGGGGCTTGAGGCTTTCCTTATCTATCCCAGCAACCAGCACCTGTGGGGCCCCTGGCTCCAAAGGCTGGGCATGGATGTAGGTGAGGAGGGACATTGTTCTGGAAGGAATGGAGGCATGCAGCTCAATCAACCTCATCCAGAGCAACTTTGCCAGAGGCAAGGTGGATTCTTACCACTGTAAGAGCTCCTCTCCGGTCTCGGTCTCGGGAGAGTTGAGTCTCTGAGCTGTTTATGTAGCAGAAAGACACTTAACCACAGGCAGGGCACACGGGAGACCTGAGAGCATCCTCTGAAAGCCATTGTCTGGAAATGCAGGCTCTGTCCTCCAGAAACGTGCCCTGCACACTCTTCAGAAATGTGGGCAAAGCTCCCTGAGGAAGGCAGCCTCAGGGCTTCGTTGGCTGAGAGCAAACACTAAGTCAACTTGATCTAAGTTGTTCTCCTCCAAGCTTCAGTTTCTGCCATCTGAAAATCTTGTTTGGAGTTTGAAACAGGGCAGAAGCGGAGACACGGGGATCCCAGTGGAGGCACGAGATGGACCAAGGGCTCTGCACTTGCGGAGAGGCCCTGGCCAGGTGCGCCCAGCCCTCACCCCTAAACCTACCTGGTGTGAGCCACCAACAGATCCTCAGGAGGGAAGCTGGTAGCCCCGTCAGGCCGCCCAGGCCAGGATTCCTGAGAGGCAGCAGCCAGAGCTATCTCTAGAAGTGGCGCTTCCTGTCTATCCCTCCATACACAGGGCAGCAGACAAAGCTGAGCCCTCTGCTGAAATGAACTGAGCCAAATGCTGATCTTTATTTGGGGGGCATCTTGTAAAAATATTAGATCCAATTGATGCTCTGCTCATGAACAAGCTACAAAGGTGACCTTGGAGGGACTTTTCTCCCACAGGCCAGGAGCAGCGACAGCAGCGGCTCTCACCTTCACCACCTGGCTGCGCTGCATGCAGGAGGGGCCCAACAACCCACGTGAAGGAAAAGGAGGTAGGAGAGCCACTGGATCCTGAGCCCCGCCGGAATCCGTGGCCCATGGCGCCACTGGGAAAGATCCAAGGACCACACGCCCAGTGTCCAGCAAGCCTCAGCTCCTCCAGTGGGCATTTCCAGAATCCCCAAGGCTGCCCGAGAGCCCCTTCACTTCTGCTGTTAATACACAGATGTCATGAAATGCTGGGTGACCTCTAAGGAAGGGATCCGTGCACCCACACTGCAGACGCAGGGGAGCGGCCACAATGGTAACAAGTGGGTGGGCAGGACTGTAGCCCATTTCTCCTGCCTCGGCCAGTGTTCTTTCTCACACTAACCACAAGTGTGCATGCACACGCACATACACATAGGCACACATGCTCACACGCATAAGTACATGCTCACATGCACACACACACACAGGCTCTCTGTGAGCAACAGGTCCACGCACTCCCTGGTAACCGGTTACCCGCAGCTGCAGGCTTCTAGAAGAACAACCACTCCCTGGGATTTTCCTGGGAGGGGAGACGTAAGATCGAGGTTTGGATCCCCACACTCACCACACTCACCACACTCAGATCGCCTTGTTGCCGTGTAACCGCAGTCCTCTGACCCTTGATGACTCTCAAAACCGTTCTTGTCATATAATACATGAACTATGCATAAACAATTCTGGGTTATGATGTGTTTCCTAAAACTAAGAGAACTTCAGCCATAACACTGACATTTTGTTTCTGGAAATTAAACCCTGGGAACAGTGAAAATAAAGTCCCTCAATTTATGAATTGTATTTCCGTACATACTTCAATTCCCAGTGCTTGCGGTGAAAGAGAAACACGATTGTGTTTCTGATGGCGTAGCCACTAAGACCAGAGGGCCTGCCCCTCCTAGGTTCTCCACTTCATACCAGGAAGCCAGGCTCTCCAAATAAGGTCCTCACTAACAACCTGGGTGACCTAATACTTCAGGAAATGACGAGAATAAACCCAAGCAAGATGGATTTGCCCATTGCTCTTGGGAAACAGTCACCTCCGCCTCTGCCCTGTTCCTGGCAGGAAGGGGCAAATGCCTGGGAGATGCTGAGACAAGTTTGCCAAGGCCTTGGCAGAGTCCCCAGGCTGGCATCTCAGTATGAACCTTGCCAGTCCTGGGACTTCTGCAGGCAGAAAATGTGCACCCCCAATGCCCAGCAAACTGTGGGCCCTGCAGATGTGTGCTGGGCTATGAACAAGGGTTTGGGGGAGGTTGAATGATTATAATTGCCAAGTGAGGCGAAGATGGATCGGATTCTGGTGCAGAGAGGAAGGTTGAGAGAAATGGAGGAAGGTGAAACCAACAAGAAGTGTCCGGACACGCTAGCAGGATTTCAGCATACAGAGCTAACAAGATGCGGGGGTGAGATACACATACAAGCTGGAGAGAATGGGGGCATGGGCAAAGGTGGGGGGCCAGAGAGGCTTGGAGTAGAGAGGGAAGAGTGGGAAGTTCAGTCAGATGCAAGCCCTGGAGATGAGCAAGGGAGTTGAGAGGTGCGGACGTGGCCCCTAACATGAGTACATGTCAGGTGTGTTATTTCCCTGCATTGACTGCCCTCCTTCTCCTTCCTCCAGGACAAACCCTCCATCCCCACTGGCCCTGCTCAAACTCCGCCTCCTCCAGGAAGCTTTCCCTGAACTGCTCAACCGGCAATGAACTTCTTCCTCCCTTCTCTAATTTCTATAGCACACCTCAGCCATCAGTTCAGGGCCACCACAAGGTGTGCACAGGCATCTCACAAGTTTGCAGAAATGCCTTCGTAGACTGTGTTCTTCTGGAAGAAAGATCACTTTGTACACATGTACCTCCCTGCAGTGTGGCTTAACCCAGGTCCAGGCACACCAAGACTTCAGGAGGGGCCCACAAACTCAGAGGGAGGCTGGCATGGGAGCAGGACAAACCATCCAGCCCCACACCCACCCCAGCCCCTATCCATGACTCCACCAACCAGGACTCTGCCTGCCTTCCCAGCCCTTGGCACAGGAACCCCAGCTTCTAGCACCTTCTCCAAGGCTCCTGCACCCTGCCTGGAAGGCAGCCCCTCGCCCCCAACCTCCTCCCAGAACTCTTCAGTTCCCCACACCACCAGCCTTCCACAGCTGAAGGCCATAGCTCATTAAAGCCAGACGTGTAGTGCCCCGTGCCACATTTCCTGGGCCTCAGCACTTCCACAGAGCCCCACTGCCAGGAGGCCACATATTCAGCCCCAGGGGCAACCTGTCTGGTCAGGGAGGCTAAAAGCAGCCCTATCACAGCGAATGAGCAAGCCCACTCTTACAAAACCAGAGTGGAGCCATGGGGGCATGGGGAGAAGAGGCAGGGAGTGCTGGGCAGGGCTCCCATCTTGGTCCTTCCTACTGAGGAGGGAAGTGGGAAAGTGGGCTCAGGCTACCACTGTCAGTGGGGATGGTGGGGGTGGCCTCCAAAGAGGACACCTGCCTGTGCAGAAGCCAGAGCCAGTCCTGGGCCCCTGAGTCAGCAGCAGAGACACAGAAAGAAAACATGCTAACTTGTTAACTGAGTGACTTGTAATGGGGACAAACATTCACATTACAAAATAATCTCCATTTGGCAAAAGGGCCTCTTTAGGAATTAACAAACTCCTCTTTGAACATGTAAGTGTCCTAGAAGAGCTAAGTGAGGCTGTTCCCTGGAATCACACTACCCAGGTGTTAGTCACTCACCCCTTAGTGTGAATCAGCTTGATCAGGCTGTTTTCCTGCTGCCTTCTGCTAGAATTCAACTTTCTGAAAAAATAGATCTGTTTGGGAAGTGATGCAGGCTGGGTCATTTTGGAACACAGAGCACAATACGAGTCTTGGAAGCAGTGGGGAGAGAAAGAGGAGTTGTTCAGCCAGAGGGCCAAGTAAGGAGACAAAGGAAAGCTGGGGGTCACAGTGGGAGGCTCAGGAGGGCAGAGTCCAGGGGCGGGAGCAGCCCCCCAGGCGTGGGCACTGGATTTGCTTGCTGGGGCTGCCGCAACAATGCCACACAGACGGAGCAGCTTAAACAGCAGACGTGCACGGCCTCTTGCCTCCTGCCGTGTCCAGTCTCCCCGCTTTCCAAGGACACCTGTCACGTTGGATTAGGGGCCCACCTGACTTCACTATGACTTTGCCTTAACTAACTACATCTTCAACCACTGTATTTCCTTATTTGAAATTCTTTATTTCCTTATTTCATCACATTCTGAGGTACTGGGGTTTAGAACATCAACATGCGAATTTGGGGGTATCATGACTTAGCCTGTGATCAGCACCTTTTCTGGGGTGAAACTGAGGCAGAGGAGACCTCAGCCCCAACCAGCCGAGTAACCCTGAGCAAGCCATTGTCCTGTGTGACCTCAGGTGACTCACCTGTGGCACGGATGGCCCGGGGATGGTGGCTGATGGTCTCTTCCACCTGCCTCCCAGCACATTCAGATGGTCCAGTGAGGACCTCCTGCATCTGCGAGGTGCAAGCCCCCTGGGCAGTGGCTTTTCCACGGCTGTCAGCAACGCTCACGTGACTAGACATCAGAGGCTCTTCCATCCCTGCTCGATAAGGCACGGGGCCTTGTTACCAGCACTCCCAAGCCCCAGGGAGTGAGCTAGGGCACAAAAGTAATAACGGACACCAAGAGGTCTGGAGACTCCTTAAACAGGTGAGCCTCCAAGACTACACAGCCAAGACCTCTACTGTATTAAGTCTGTTTTCACACAGCTATAAAGAACTGCCCGAGACTGGGTAATTTGTAAGTAAAATAGATTTAATTGACTCACAGTTGCCGCATGGCTGGGAGGCCTCAGGAAACTTACAATCATGGTGGAAGGCGAAAGGGAAGCAGGCACACCTCACATGGTCGCAGGTGAGAGGGAGAGAGGGGGGAACTGCCAAACACTTTTAAACCATCAGATCTCGTGAGAACTCACTATCACGAGAACAAACAGCAGGGGGGAACCGCCCCCCTGATCCAATCACTTCCCACCAGGTCCGTCCCCTGACACATAGGGATTACAATTCAACACGAGATTTGGGTGGGGACACAGAGCCAAACCATACCATCCACAGAAAAGCATGCTCTTACACAGTCGGGATACATCCTGCTGTTGTCTGCAAACAGCTTGCGTTTACAGGGAGCAACAGCACCATCTCTGGCTGAGTCAGGCCCATCTGCCTTCAGAACAGAGCCTGGCCAAGGGGCCACCTCCCCGCGCGGGACAGGCCAGCACACAGTAGGCGCTCAAGGAGCCGGGGACAGAGGCGAGGGCGGCCCACTCGTGGAGCGAGGGCGACACCCAGTGGCCATGTGGAAAATGACCTGCTCGAGCCCAAAGGCGGGTGGCAGCAGCGTCTGATCCGCCAGCCTCAGGCCAGGAGGCGGTGGCCGAGTCCGATTTGAGTCCCATGTCCTCTGGACTGCAAGTTGAGACTCCCGGTCCCAGGAGGGACAGCAAGGCCTTCTCCACCTTCACAGGCCATCTGACTACCTGCGCAGCTGTTTAAAGAGCAAACCGCGCATGAGTTAGGCCGCTTGGCCCTCCCATTCAGACCCCTCAGGCCGCCTGTGGACAGCCTGGCTCACCCTCTAAGAGCCTTCCTGCCCGCCCTGGGAACACACACCGCAGGGTCCAGGGACTGGCGTCAGGAGCAGAGCGAACTCAGCGCCACCTGGGCTCCAGGCCAGGCTCTGCTCCAGGACTGGCCCCTCCCCGATTCCCATCCCTGAAGCCAGGGCCACTGGGGTTATAGTGAACCGCTTCTGAGGACACGTGCAGCTAAGGGTGAGCAACTTGTTTTTTGTTTGTTTGTGTTTTGTGTGTGTGTGGTTTTGTTTTGTTTTGTTTTTTGAGATGGAGTCTCACTCTGTCGCCCACACTGGAGTGCAATGGCGCGATCTCGGCTCACTGCAGCCTCTGCCTCCCAGATTCCAGCGATTCTCCTGCCTCAGCCTCCCGAGTAGCTGGGATTACAAGTACCTACCACCACACCAAGCTAATTTTTGTATTTTTAGTAGAGATGGGGTTTCATCATGTTGGCCAGACTGGTCACAAACTCCTGGCCTCAAGTGATCCGCCCGCCTGGGGCCTCCCAAAGTGCTGGGATTACAGGCGTGAGCCACCCCACCCTGGGTAAGCCATTTGTCTTCAAGACCCCAAGCCTTGATATCAGACAGCTGGGTTCAAATCCGATCTCTGCCCCGCCCAGCTCTGCAGCCTCGGGAAATTCTCTATGGGGCCTTTCCTCTCTTGGGTTACCACGGAGATTCGATGATGGCAGGTGCTTAAAGCTCCCCACGTGGTACCTTTCCCGTAACAGGTGCTCAGTGGTCGCGGGCTCTTCTTTAGCTTTGTCTGCATATCAGCACGACAGAAAACAGCTGCACCGTATCTCAGGCAGCCCCAGGTATGTGGAACTAAGTGATCAAAATCAGAGACATCTGCCTCTGCTGTTCTGCAAAGCCTCTGCCCTTCCTCTCACACAGACCTGATCACACCCCCACACCAAAACATACACGTGCAAGCTGCCCAGGGCCCCTTGCTGACTGCCTCAGGGTCAAGTTCACACCGATCCCCCCACCACCAGCACAATTATCCAGCCTGGAACCCCAAGTATCCATCCTAGAAGCTGCTGTCCCCTGTTGCCCTCATCCCCACCCCTCCAGCCGCCTAGAGAAGACTGGGAAAGCCCAGAGAAGAGCAGGGCAGGCCCCTCTACTTGTTCCCTTACTCAGGCAGGTCCAAGGCAGGGCCCTGGAGCCCAGGGACAGAGGACAGGGAGGGTCCTAGGCCCACCCAGCTCAGAAGCTCAGTGGAGAGGAAGGAAGGGCTCAAGAAGCTAGAAGGATGCGGTTGTTACTACCTTCGACAGAACCAACAAACCAAGCTCAGAGCCAATTCTTAGGCAGAGTGTGTCAAGTAAATCTTACTTTCAAGCCCTGGGAAGATGTACCCTCATGCTAGCGGTGGGGGTGGGCATTCCTGTTGTACTAGGGGCTGTGACCCCTCCCAAGACCCAGCCTTACAGTATGGCTGCAGAACTACCCCTCCCACTAAGTGTCCTCATCCTCCCTCAGCCACAGCCTGAGATGAGCCTGCAGGGCCTTTCCACTCAGTGACTTTAGATAAGCAGAAACAGAGGCCTGGAGAGTTTAGGGGAATTGCCCAAAACCACAGAGCGAGTAAGTGGTAGAAGCAGGTGAAATTGTTTAACATTATTTTATTTGACCCAGTATATCTAAAATATTATCATCTTGACACAATATGAAAATGTTAGAGGTACTTTACATTCTTTTATTTATACTAACTCTTAAAAATCTGGTATATATTTAACACTTAACAGCCCATCTCAGTTTGGGTGCTAAATTTTCATTGAAAATACTTGATCTGTATTTAGATTTCATAAACTTTGCAGTGGCAGATTCACATACTTTAAATGTGAATTTGTTGTTCCAAACAAAGTGTTCACATGAAGTGTGAGTTCATTTCACCCACTCCACTGCCGTACTTTAAAATTTTTTAGTAACTGAATTGTTGGCTTTGGGTTTGTTGTTGTTGTTGTTGTTTTTGGAGATAGGGTCTTGCTCTGTCACCCAGGCTGGAGTGCAGTGGTGAGATCATAGCTCACTGCAGCCTTGACTTCCCAGGCTCAAGCAATCCTCCCACCTCAGCTTCCTGAGTAGCTGGGACCACAGGCATGCACCACCATCCCCAGCTTTTTTTTTTTTTTTTTCTATTTTTTTGTAGACATGAGGTCTCACGATGTTGTCCAGGTTGGTCTTGAACTCCTGGGCTCAAGTGATCCTCCCACCTGGGCCTTCCAAAATGCTGAGATTGTAGGCGTGAGCCACTGTGCCCAGCCAGTATTTTTTATTTTAAATGAATTCAAATGAGAAATTCAGTTCCTCAGTAACACTGGTGACACTTCAAGTGTTCAGTAGTTGCATATGCTAGTGTCTATCAGTGGACAAGCTAGCACTAGATCTTTTTGCAGAATCCTTAAATGAGACCATACCCAGCTATACAGCACTTAGAAATCCATGTCTTGGCCGGGCACAGTGGCTCACACCTGTAATTCCAGCACTTTGAGAGGCAGAGGTGGGTGGATCACCTGAGATTAGGAGTTCAAGACCACCCTGGCCAACACAGTGAAACCCCGACTCTACTATAAATACAAAAATCAGCCGGGCATGGTGGTGCCCACCTGTAATCCCAGCTACTCAGGAGGCTGAGGCAGGAGAATCACTGGAACCTGGGAGGCTGAGGCTGCAGTGAGCCAAGATTGCGCCACTGCACTCCAGCCTTGGCAACAGAGTGAGACTGTGTCTCAAAAAAGAAAAGAAATCCCTGTCTTTTCTTGTCCTGTCCAAGTACTCAGTTTCTACAGGCTTCATGTTATAGGGCGGTGTGTCCCAAATCCCTCTAGCTGATTTAGGGGTATGAGTAACAGTTAAAGCATCAAGAGAAGTAGCCACCAAATAGAAATGAAAGTATGGTGCCATTTCTGCTCATGTAGCCACTACCCCTAAAGAGGCAACACTTGTAAAGCATCCATGGAGTAAAACAAGTCTGCACATCTCAACAACTCAAGGGCACTAAGCAAAGACCATGGAGCTGCAGCAACAGGATGCTATTCAGACTGTTAGGAGGCCCACACATAACTCATTTGAGAGCACAAGGTTAATAAGTGGCAGAGCCAGAACTAGAGCCTAGGTCCTTGCACTCACGGTCTGAGCTCATCAGTGTGTGAGCTCACTTCACCCACTCCATTCCTACAGCTACAGAGTTCCCCGTGGAAGTCTCAGTTGCACACCAGAGAGGCATCTGGGGGAAAATGTTCCACCTGGTCTCATGGCCTAGGAGACAAAGAACCCTGGGTTAGGATCTCAACTCTGGACTTAGTAATGACCCTGAATAAGCCTGGGCCCTCATGTCCTTCCCACCTGCAAAATGGAGGCTGTATCCCTGTTCTAGGCCCTCTGCAACAAAGCATCACAAACTTGGTGACTTCAAACGACAGAAATTTATTCTCTCCCAGTTCCGGAGGCCAGAAATCTGACACCAACTTGTGGAAAGGGCCTCCAAAGCCTCGAGGAATCTTTCCTGGCCTCTTCCAGCTTCTGGTGAATGCAGGTGTTCCTTGGCTTGCGGCAGCAGAACTCCAGTCTCTGCTTCTGTCTTCACATCACTGCTGTCCACTCTTCTATCCCAAGTCTCCTTCTGCCTTTCTCTTAAAAGAACACTTACATTGGATTTAGGATCCACCCAGATGATCCAGGATGAACTCTTCTTCTCAGACTCCCAATTACTTCTGCAAAGGCTATGTTTCCAAATAAGGTCACATTCACAGGTTCTAAAGGTTAGGTAATGAACATATCTTTGTGGCAGAATTGGGGTGGAGGGGAGCGGAGGGAGGCTCACGGTTCAACCCATGGTAAGGAGTTTGGACCACGTGAATTCCAGGTCTCACTCAGCTCTGAAAACATACAAAAATGGCAAAGGGCAACTATCTCTACCACATAAAGAATACATCCAAGTGCCTCAGGTCAACATCAACATCCCAAGAAGTAAATGGACAGTTCACACATACAATTAGAAGATGCTCTAATTAGCAAGCAGACACACGTGGGAGTTTTGCCTTTCTAACGTCAGAGAGATGCAAACTAAAAAATTTGTTTAATCTCAGAAAACTAAAACCAAATGCTGGCAAGGATGTGATGGAACTGAGACTTAAACATGGATCTGCCATTTATTCCCTGGGACTGGCTCAGGGTAGGCACTTATTGATTTGACTTGCCGATGGATGGTTAATTGGCAAAACTCTTTGGGGGGAAACTGTGGCAACATATTCCAAGAACCTTGAAAATAAAGATGGCTATTGGCTGAAAATTCCTCATCTGTACTGAGAATTTATCCTAAGGAAATCATCCTTGTGAACAAATATTTGTCTCAGCATTATTTATAACATCTAAATAGTGCAAACAACCTAAGCCTTCAAGAGAATGGGAACAATTCTGCACAGAAGTTCCGCAGCCGTGAAAGTGATGTTAAAACCGGGAGAACAGATAAGGCTAGTTGAATAAATCGGGACCACTGAGGAGGAGGCAGGGGAGGTTTAGGGGTGCCAGCAATACTTCGCTGTGGGTGATCAAGAACATGATGTGATTGCTGTAGAATCACTTCCTTAAACTGTGCATTTGTATTATGTATTTTTTATGCTTAAAACACATTTTAAGAAAAACCGAAGATTTTATTTTTTCTTTTTAACAGCTGAATCCAAGAATCCTAGGACACTCTTAATTTGTCCCAGAAGTGTGAAGTCCACCTAGGGCATAGCCGTGAAGGGCTCCCAGAACTGTACGGGGAATTTTGAGGCTGGGGTACCGCAGTGAAGTGCAGCTCACCCGGGCGGAGCGCACCTGACCTGGCTTCCACACCTGGTGGAGCGCCTGGGAGGCCTCGCGGATAAAGCCCCGGGCAGCGCGTGACCCGCCCCAGCCCAGTAGTGGAGTCCCCGCCGCGGGCCCCTTGCTTGCAGGGTAGGTGTGGCCCGGTCGTCCCACTCTCCGCCCCCTCCTGCTCCTCCTCGCCGTGCCCAACCCGCCCGCTTCTCCTGCCTAGGCTCTTCTTTCTGCTCCTGTCGCCATGGCCCCGGCCTCGGCGCTCAAGCGACCCTCTCGCTCCGCCCAGGTCAGTGAAGGATGGGATGCAAGTGCCCGCCAAGCCCCCCGTTTCCCACGTGGAGTTCCCACAGGGCAGCAGGGAGGGGCCGCGCCTTCTCTAACTGACCCGAACCGACCCGGGCTTCACAGGCTTCGTGGAGAGCAGCTGCCCCGCCGGCATCTTCCGGATGAGGCTCTCTAGACAACAAAGCCTTCTACGCGGAAGTTACTGGTGACAGGGGAAGGACTCATGGGTTTTTGCAGCCCGGTGTCCCCAAAACAACCTCCTGACCCCCAGCCCACCCAGGTTCCCTGCTAGCCCGCCCAACCCAGAAAGACTGGCCTGCCTGGGGTCCAGCAAGGATACAGAATCGCGCAGCTGCCCCCCACAGCCTGCCGCCCAGCATCGGTTCTCCCACCCATCTGCCTGTCCCCACCCGCTATGAGACGCCCTGGGTCTGCTTCCCTGGGACCAGCCCTCAGCGTTGCCTTAAGTGATTCTGGTGCCAGGGACTCTGAGGACCCCCAGGCTCCTCCAGGCTGGCAGGTGACCATACTCCTTCCACTGCAGACCCCTGGATGCCCAGCTGCCGCACCTCCCGTGGCCCCACGCTGTGGCTACGTGTTGTCTGAAGACGCCTGGGGAAACCTTCAGGGCCTCTGTACTGGCCTGTCATGTGGTCAACCAGGTGAGCAAGCTTCTGAGATGCCCTTGTTCAATTGCCCAGGAAACAGGTGTCCAAGATTCATATGGAAGAAATCTGGCCCTGCCCTCAGCACTGAGGACATTTGGGGAATCCAGCATCCCCTCCTGGATGCAGATCGCTTCCGCCTGGCACAGGCTGTCTTCACAGCTGCAGAGTCCTCTTGTGTCTAAGAACAGAGACCACAGTTCCATCTTTGCCTTGCCAGGATTGACCTCTAATGAATAGATCACCTTTGTAAGGTGGACCAAAAAAAAAAAAAAAAAGAGCATTTCCAGGTGGCTGTAACTGACAGCTGGGAACTGCCAGAGTGTGGCAGGAGGCCCAAAGCTGTAGGAGTTTAGAGGAAGCCGCATGCAGGCACCTTGCGCTCAGATGAGGCATGGGGTAGAACTGCAGATGAGAGCAATCAGAAGGAGACTCGTGGGATAGCAGGGTTTAACCTGGCTACGATGTCAGCAAGGTGGACGGGGAGACTGGGGCCCCAGCTATGCCTGGATTTAGGGGTTCAAAGGTATAGGGAGCTAGCAGGAGCACTTCAACAGAACAGAGGTGAGATTAGTGTCAGATCACTAAATCCTAAGTCTCTTCTGTGCATCTCTACCTGCTCTATTTCATCATGCTCCCTTCCCTGCACACCTCCAGCCGTCTGTCTACTAACAAGAGACCCGTACCTCAGTCCCACTGAGCCAGGTGGGACTGGGCCAAACCTCCCTATTTGATTCTTGCCTCATCTTCCCTGGGACTTCGGTGCTTTCTTGCCCTTCTTCCAGGATAATAGATGGTTTTCCCTCAGTGTGAACATCGAGGTGTCTGGGTTCATGGAAGCTGGTGAAGAAACCACCTACAACTATACCATGTCCTGTCCCTATTTCACATGGGCCTCGAGGAAGATTCTCTGAAGGGAACTACATGGAGGTGAGCACAGGTAACCCCAGCCAGAATGCTGGGTCTCCTGGGGCCGAAACTACCTCCTTCGTTCTATGAAGTGAGGCCACACTTGATATTTTCATGGAACCAAGTCCCTTAGTACTTAAGCCTTATCAGCCATGAAATAGACCCTTTTCGGGAAACAAGATTTGATTAAGTTGAAAGGAAATCAGAATGTCAGCGATCTCTGCACTCCTATGGTCATTGCAGCACTATTCACAATGATATAGAATCCACCTAAGTCCCTCTCAGTCCCTCAGTTGGATGAATGGATAAAATGTGAAATAGATTAGATACACACACACACACACACACACACACACAGGAATACCATTCAGCCACTTTTAAAAAATGAAATCCTGTCCCTTGCAGCAACGTGGATGAACCTGGAGGTCATTATGTTAAGTGAAACAAGCCGGGCACGGAAAGACAAATACCACGTGACCCCACTCATTTGTGGAATCTGAAAAAGCTGATCTCAGAAGTAGAGACTATAGAATAGTGGTTCCAGGTAGCTGGGAAGTGTAGGAGAGATAGGTTAAAAGGTACAAAATTCCAGTTAGGAGGAATAAGTTTTAATGTTCTATTGTACAGTAGGGTGACTATGGTTAACAATAGTATATTGTATATTTATCATATTTATAATTTATATTGTATATTTATAAGAGGATTTTGAATGCTCTTACCACAAAGAAATGATAAAGGTTTGAGGTGATGGATACGCATTACCCCGATTGGATCATTACACATTGTAAACATCACACTGTATCCCATAAATATGTACAGTTATTATGAGTCAATTAAAAATACAACTTCAAATCTTGATTTAGGTTGGCAGGTAAGGAACAGAGGCCTAAAGGTAGGTGGGCTGTACACAGTCATCATCCAACCACGTGGCTCATTGCTGTTGCCTTGGGCTCAGAAGTAGCATCAAAGCTGGTGCCCCAACCAGGCCCTCGGCCCTTAGGATATCTCATGAGAACCTAGGTCCCAACAAGAAAGGCCATTCCTATGAATGACGTGACCCTTAGGCTGCATCCCTGCTCCAGGAGATGTAACTGGACCTGTGTGGGTATCTGCTGGGTCAGGTCCTGGGAATCTGCATTTACAGCCATGTGGTGTAGGGATCCCAAAGGAGAGGCTAAGACACTTGTAACTGGAGGAGGGGAGGGGAGTCAGGAGACAGAGCTGCATGAAGAGCTTGCTTGTTGGCAGGTGTCTGTGAGGATCAAATTGCCCATGGTTTCTGAAGCCCAGGACCCTGAGCAATGGATGTCAGCATTGGCTGGATGCACTCCCCATGGTAGGACTGAGGACTGACCAAGCAATCCCTGGCCAGCCCACATGGACCTGCCTACCACTCTCCCATACAGTGTGCAGGTAGCCTGCAAGCAACATCACAGCCTTCAAATTCCCTGCAGCCTATTGAGATCCTAGAGACAGGAGCCCCACCTGTCTCATCTTGCCTACCTGGGGAGGTACCCCTGTCTTTGCCAGTCTTGCCTCCAACTGGGAGCCTCTTCTGCCGGTCCTCTCTGCTGAGCCCTGCTCACACCGAGCCAGGTGGTGGAGGGACAGTGAGGGTTGCTGAGTGAAGCTATGTAACTTGTACAGCCTGCACAACTCCAAGCAGTAGCCCTGTGTCTAGTATTTTTTGGGGGGAGATTCTGGTCAGCCTTGATTTTTGGGCCTTTTTAGTGTTCTATCTTGCCAACTTAGTAAAAGATCTGGTTGTCTTGCATTTGAGAGGAGATGAGAGAAGCAAGTACCTCTTTTTTGTAAGAACAAGTAAGTGAACAAGTGCCTCTTTCCTGCCTTGCATTCAACTCCTTAGATCTCCTTGATTGCACGGTCAACCCCGCTCCTGTCTGTCAGGCTCAGGAACCACTTACAAGCTATGGCAGGTGATGTTCCAGCATCCCACAGGGAGGATTATGCTGGTGAGCCACATGGCCAAGCAGGACTATGGCTTCAACAGCTCTGGGGCCTGCATGTTCCTGCATTAGCCCTACTCCAGCAATGAGGCTGAAGTTACCAGGTGAGTTTCATCTACCCCACTCTAATCCTTGGGAGAGCGAGAGTGGGGACAGATCAGGAGGATGCTCTTTAACTGACATCTGTGAGCTCTGAGCACAGAGTACTATTAGGTTGATGCAAAAGTAATCTCAGCTTGGTCAAATAGCTTAAGTCTGCTTTTATCTTTATGAGCAATTCTAATCAAAACTGGTCATGTTCCAGGGAGCAAATAGATTAATGTGGGAGCAAATAGATGAATGTTTTCAGGATTTAGGCATCTGGTCTTACTTATAGGAAGTTTATTTCATCTCAAACAACTCCTGTATCATCTTCTCTAGGTTTTAATATAACTCAATACCTGCCTCTCTCTAAAGAGTGCCCCTGGGTAGGACTGAGGTGTGATCTCATGGGGTGGTATAACATCACAGCTGTAACTCCAGCTAGAAGTTTGTCTCAATCCCGATTGGCTGGCCAGCTATGGTTTTCTAGGGAAGGCAGTTGGCAAAGTGCCTCATCCACAGCACACCTCTCATCTGCTGCCTCTTTGTTTCTCATAGAGTGACATCATGGTATCTGGTGCAAGCTATAGCATCCACCTATTCTTGGAGCACACGTGGTCAGACACTGATTGGCATGTGACCAAGTTGATGGTGGTCAAAACAGAACTCCTTTCATGCCCACAAGCTTCAGTATTACTATGTTCCCTGCCACTTCCGTTGAAGTTTTGCAGGATTGGGATGATCCTTTGGTGTGAACGAAGCCCCAAAGAGGACCACGTGGAGAGTGCCTGGTAGGTCTTAGTGTGTACAGCAGGAATACTGACTTGGCATAAGGGCTCAAGTTTTAGCAAGTACAGCCCATCCCATCTGGGCCAGCTTCTACCTTTAGGCCTCAATATGCCCATAGACTGATTCAGTTTGAGTTCTGATCACTTGTAGCCTGTAACTAAGGGCTAGGTAAGTGCATTCAGAGTTCTGTCAAAAGTGTGATCTTGATATTTAGAAGTAAAAGCTTCAGAACATCAACTTTCTAGCCTATCATCCAATTAATGCTTAAAAACATGATATAGACCTTCCTTTAGAACTATCATTCAGGCCAGGCACAGTGGCTCATGCCTATAATCCCAACACTTTGGGAGGCTGAGGCAGGCAGTTCACCTGAGGTCAGGAGTTCGAGACCAGCCTGGCCAGCATGGTGAAACCCCATCTCTATTAAAAATACAGAAATTAGCTGGGTGTGGTGGTACACGCCTGTAATCCCAGCTACTCAGGAGGCTGAGGCAGGAGAATCACTTGAACCCGGGAGGCAGAGCTTGCAGTGAGCCAAGATCATGCCACTGCACTCCAGCCTGGGCAACAGAGCAAGACTCCGTCTCCAAGAAAAAAAGAAAAAAAAAAACTATTATTCAGACTCTAATGTGATTGAATAACTTTCGGTCCTGAGGAGAGACAACAGTAGTAAGGATTCTTTTGACCTCCATGAGCCTATAATCTACACAAAGAAGATTGTGGTTAGCCCTCACATGCGAGCTTATTTTTTTGTGTTCAGCCGCTACTTAAGCCAACATACAAAGGGACAAAGCTGGATAAATTGCACTCTTACCTGGGATGGTGAGGCTAGTATGTTAGTGGTTATTTGCATAAGGAATGGCTGGCAATTTTTGACTGATGCTGCTGGGTTGCCCTCGGGTTTATGAATGGGCTTATGTTCTCAAAATGGCCCTCGCTGATCACATCCTTCCTGTGGTTCCTCACTCGGCCTTGTTCCTGAGTTACTGGCTAAAGAAGGATTGACTCTAAGAGACAAGAGCATCTTTGGGGGGAAAGGGGAGAAGATTATCAAAGGACACAGACACCCCTAGTCCTTTCTAGTCCCCTCACAGGAAAGAGAAAACAGGATGCTCTTAGCTCTGAGGACTTAATTAAGGGAGACTGGGAGAGTCTGTTGCCGGTAAACCACAGGCTGTAATAGATGAGAACTTCCAACAGACACGGTCCCTGGGACAAGACTCTTCAACATCACCTTTGGAGCTGTCTTCCCTGGTGACCAGTTGGTGGCAATGGGGATCAGAACTGTGCCCTATCCTATTTCAGAAGTGGATGAACCTGGGTATAAGGTTTGGGAAATTTCCCTCCCAGATGGAACACAAAGGTTTGTGCTTGAAGTGTCCTTGATGACACAGAAGTGATTAAAGAGGTCAGCCAGTGCTCATGTCCAGGTAAGAAGCTGTCAGTTTGGACAGATCCTCTGCCCAGCAGATAGCTTACCAGATAGTGTTACCTGCTGGGCAGGTAACATACTTCATAGGCAGAGCTCTCACCCACCCCACCCTCACAGGTCATTAAATTACATGAGCACGTCTTGTCTAATCTAGCTTGGCAGGCTGGAGCAGTTTGAAACACTGTAATGGAGAGACCAGTAGCCACTCGAGTACGTGACAGAGTGGACATCCTCATTGGATTGAGGTCTCAAGCCCCCCATCAGGTGGTGGGCACACAAGGACAGGGCCTACTCTGCTATGCTGTCCAGCCTGAGCAGATGCTGTAAGGGGGCAGGAGGCTGTCCTAGGGTCACTACCCAGAAGTGGCTTCGTAAATTCAGGCAGCCTTTTGCTCAGCATGGCTCTAAGCTATGGTCAACCTGAAATAATTGAAAGGATCAGAATCCAGTTTTAAAGAGTTTATTCAAGCAAAAAGCTGGGAATGACCATACAGGAAACAGACTTCAGAGAAATGGAATAAGTGCTCCGAAGTTAAAAGTTAAGGTCTTGCTTATATAGGCAGAAAATAAAGAAATTCAGTAGGATTTTATCATTTTCTATACAAGGCTGTTTTATGAGTTACAATTTAGTTTGTTTTCTTTTCCATAAAGTTTGTTTTCTTTACAGCTTGTTTTCATTTCCTTTCCAATTTAAGAGTAGTTAACATTCCATCTTAGACAATCCCATAGCCATGAAGACTTTGTGTGGAAGAGGAAAGAGGGAAGTTAATCTATACTGAATATCAACAGTTAAGAGGGAAGGGGTCTTCCCTGGCACCCTTTAGTCATTTACAACATTTTACAAAACATGTAGGTAAGAAAAATGACCAATCTGTAATCAGAAACAAAGGTTACAGCTGCATGTTTATGTGACTCAGGTCCTATAATCACATTCCCTTAAGGCTCAAAATGTTTTGAGGTTCTAACAGCTTAGATTTTGAATTACTTTACTCTATCCATCACTTGCAGACTGTTCCTGTGATGTCTTCTAGTACATGAACAGGAATGAAACCCACTATGTCCTCCATGTGAACTACATGCTGAGCGTGGGTCCAGATGGGAAACCATTCTCCTACCCTGCAGAAATGGTATATAGTTTCAAGGATGTGGGTAAGTACACCAAGTGAGGTGCTGGTCCTGGACTCATGGATGGTCTTGGTACCCAACAAGTTACACTGGCTCTGTCCAAACAACAGCTGTGGAAGCCCCTCCCATGGGAGGGGGGTCCCACTGGGGCTACACAGAAGTAACTCCTCACAAGTGGCTTGTCTGCATCCTGGGATTGGAAACCCAGTATAGAAGCAGCTGTTGGCAGACTCATGAAGTAATACAGAGAATGGGTGGCTGCTCATACAATCAGCAGTAAGACTTCACTTAAATCATGCCAGGAATGACATGAACAGGACTCAACGTACCCCATACAGTCTTCCCTCCCAGGTGCCACCACCCCTGAAATATTAACCTTGGTAGACTTCTCCTGTCAAGGTCACAGTAAGGGTAGCCAGTGGTATCAAGACCTTGGTATAAATCAGACATGGCCTTCTTCCCAGCAAGGTCATTAGGTACCCAATGTAGAGATAGCAGGGAAAGGATATAAAAACAGGAAAGTTCCAGGTGAGTCATCTTTTGCCCCTTGACTAGGCCTGCCTATAGGTTTGACAGCTCCAGGAAGTAAGAAAACAGGTATATTGTCTTCCTTCCTATAGCTCTGCTAGGTGTCATCCTCTTAAGGTCACTAGGATTCTAGTGTTGAAGGCTTGCTGCCACACAGATGGCACTGTTCTATCCTCAAAGCATTTTCAGGGTGCCATCTAATGGGTCTGAATCCTGGTTCCATTGCAAACTTTAAGCAAGGAACTCAGCATTATCCAATCCCCATTTTCTCCAACTACTGGCCCCCTCTAAGGAGGCTGAAGAGTGAAAGCATGTTGAACACCAAGATGCTCTCCAAAGATGGAGTCCTTCTCTTCTGAGCCCCACAGCTCTGCAAGATGGGTAAAACTCAAGGTGGCATTAGGCTCTGAGAGGAGCTCCATCACACAGCTGGCATAGTATGGAGCTGGACCAGAGCCCAAATCCCCTATCTCCCCACTGTCCTAACCAAAAGCTTACACTTCAGAACCCAAGGCCGTGAACACAGACCTCACACAGCTGTAACCTGAGAAACTGCCATTGCTGATCTAGTGCCAGAACCACTTCCCCATCCCTGGCTTTCCTGCTGACTTCCCACGAGATAAGACTTTTCTTTAAAAAGGGGGCCTTCTCAGCCACACGCAGTGGATCACACTGTAATCTCAGCACTTTGGGAGGCCGAGGCGGGTGGATCACTTGAGGCCAGGAGTTCGAGATCAGCCTGGCCAACATGGTGAAACCCCATCTCTACTAAAAATACCAAAAAAAAAAAAAAAAAAAAAAAAAAAAGCAGGGCATGGTGGCATGTACCTGTAATCACAGCTACCCAGGAGGCACAAGAATTGCTTGAACCCAAGATGCAGAGGTTGCAGTGAGCCTGTTTGTACCCCTGCACTCCAGCCTGGGTGACACAGTGAAACCCTGTCTCAAAAAAAAAAAAAGGAGCCTTTGGCCAGGCACAGTGGCTCACACCTGTAATCCCAGCACTTTGGGAGGCTGAGGCGGGTGGATCACCTGAGGTCAGGAGTTTGAAACCAGCCTGGCCAATATGGTGAAACCCTGTCTCTACTAAAAATACAAAAATTAGACAGGCTTGGTGGCATGCGTCTGAAGTCCCAGCTATTCAGGAGGCTGAGGCGGGAGAGCCTCTTGAACCCTGGAGGTGGAGGTTGCAGTGAGCCGAGATCACGCAATTGCACTCCAGCCTGGGCAATAAGAGTGAAACTGTCTCAAAAAAAAAAAAGAAAAGAAAAGCCTTCTTGGGCTGACCAAGGTGGATCATGCCTATAGTCCCAGCACTTTGGGAGGCCTGGGTGGAAGGATTGCTTGAGTTCAGAGGTTCAAGACCAGCCTGGGCAACATAATGGGACCCCGTCTCTACAAAAAATTTAAAAATTACCATGGCATGCTGATACATGCCTGTAGTCCCATCTACTCGTGAGGCTGAGGCGGGAGGATCACTTGAGCCCAGTAGATGGAGGCTGCAGGTAGCCATGATTGTGCCACTGCACTCCAGCCTGGGCAAGAGTGAGACGCTGAATCAAAAATAAAAGGCATCTCACTTAAGGGCCTTCACACTAGGGCTCCAGTGGAAAAGTAAAAGGGCCAAAGGGGAGTGATGAGAAATGGATGCTTGGGAGAGAATAGGCCTCCAACAAGATTCTTCAGTCTTGGTATGCCAAGGCTGGACAATAAGGAGAATCGGACCCCAACCTGAGTCCCATTTACCCATTGTGTACTTTTCACAGAAATTCCCTAGGCCATTGGCACCTGTGACAGTGAGAACCTATACTTGGCCATCCCAGTAACTGACCCGCTCTCCTGTTGGGAGCTCTACATGGGACACTGGCACCTGAGCCGTAGGCCAGGACCCCTTGACATAGTCCTCATGACAGATAACTCCACCCATCTGCTATTGGCAGTGCAACTCTTTTCTCCAGGGGCGCTGTATGAGGGGGTCCCCCGAGGGCTTAAGCTGGTTGACGGGCTAAGGAGGGTGGAGAGAAGTTGTGCAGCCACTGTCCTGGGCCATCAGTCACAGCGGTGTGTCACTTCAGACACAAGGAAGTGCCTGGATGGTCTTGGTGCCCAACAAGTTGCATTGGCTCTGTCCAAACAGCGGCTGTGGAAGCCCCTCCCAGGCCAGGGATGCGGGCTTGAGCAATCCCTGTCCAGTGTTCTCGGGGAGCAGAATGTATGGTATCTAATACAGTCTACAACAGCATTTGTGAGGAATGGCCTGTGTTTGGGTGCATGTCATGCCATTAAAATCCCTAGAACTAGAAAGAAGTGGCTTCCAGATCCCAGGCCCCCTGGGCGACTCTCAGCATCCTGGGCCCCACAGGCCTCAGCTGCCAGATCTGCCCCAATGGCCAGGACTGCGTGGCATCTGTTTCTGATGAAACTGAACCCAGCTGTGGGGTGGGTCCCAGGATCTCTCCCTCCAGAGGATTTGCGCCCAGCTTGAGGTGGCCCCAAAGAAAACTGACATGCTAGAGACTCCAGAAACCTTCTCCATGGATTTACCCCATTGGGAGAGAAAAGGCCTCCAACAAGACTCTTCAGTCTTGCTATGTCAAGGCTGGACAATAAGGAGAATCGGACCCCAACCTGAGTCCCATTTACCCATCCTGTACTTTTCACAGGACTTCCCCAGGCCATTGGCACCTGTGACAGTGAGAACCTATACTTGGCCACCCCAGTAACTGACCTGCTCTCCTGTTGGAGCTCTACATGGGACACCAGCTCCCATGCATTTATCCCTTTTCAGACCTCACTGGTGAGAAGCTGGGCTTCTGGGTCCCCATGCTGCTTCATCCCACCTCCCAACCCTGTCTTCAGGCCCACTGCTGATCCCAGTCTAGAACCACAGCACCGCCCCCATCCTGCATGAAGAAGGCCTTGTGCATCTGCCTTGGTGAGATCTTTCCAGGCTGACTGGTCTGTACTCCCTGGGGAGATGATCGAGACCAGCTCACACTGCTGTGTGTCACATCCATACCTTCTATGGGAAAACTAACCCCCCTCGCCTCCTATGTGAAGTCTCAGGCTTCACAGCCCATTTCAAATGCTGTTTCTCCTATAACCACATAGCCTGCCAACCACTGGATCTCCTTTCTGGTTCCTCCCTCTCCCCCCAACTTTTTCCTTTTGAACTCTCATAATCAGAGCCATAACCATTTTCTGCCTTGCACTAGTTACTTGTCCTTGACTGTCTTTATTTTCCCTTCTGAGCTGACTTTCTTGAAGGCAGGGCCCCCAACCTGATCACCATGCCTCAGATAGTATCCAGGTTTTGCCTTCAGCCCCTCAAATAATACATATAAAAATGAACAAATTCCAATATTTATCCACAACCTACTTGATGGCCTAAAAATGCATTTTAAATGGGTGTGTCTGAGGTAACTTGTGAAAAGCCCTGGGGTCAGGAGCCAAGTCCTACCTCAAGGAGCAGCATAAAGGCTTAGCCCAGCCTCGTCCAAGGACTGCCAGGTAAAATAGAGAACAGACTTTGATCAAAATATGGTTGGAAACAGGATGGTTGTGAGAACTATGGTTGTGTTCCTAGTGTGTTTCCCTAGTGGGACTGTGGCCATCTCTTCCATGATGGCCACAGACCCTTCCATTGACATGTGCAAGGCCACACTGAAGGATTGCACCTGCAAGCCAACAGAGTCTAGCAGCAACCAAACCTTCTTCTGACTTGACGTCACCAGCCGTGGTACCTCAGTGAGGGTGAGTAAGGCAAAAGGGCCACCTGCTCCTGCCAGGCCTTAGCATACCATCTAAGCTTTTTCTTCTCAGTCCTGTGGTATTGTTCCATTTTCACACTGCTGATAAAGACATACCTGAGACTGGGCAATTTACAAAAGAAAAAGGGTTAATGGACTGACAGTTCCACATGGCTGGGGAGGCCTCATGATCATGTCAGAAGGTGAAAGGCATGTCTCACATGGCAGCAGATGAGAAGAGAAGACTTGTGCAGGGAAACTCCCCTTTAAAAAACCATCAGATCTCATGAGACTTATTCACTATCACAAGAAAAGCACAGGAAAGACCTGCCCCCATGATTCAATTACCTCCCACTGGGTTCCTTCTACAACATGTGGGAATTGTGAGAGCTACAATTCAAGATGACATTTGGGTGGAGACACAGCCAAACCGTATCACCCATGTTCTCCATATGCTCTAAAATCTTGGGTTATGTAGTTTGAAGGTGACTATATTATATATGAAAAGGGAATCATGTATGAGAAGGAACCCTTGCTATGAAGGGCTGGCCCACAATTACAAGATATCCAGACTACAGGTGAGATGGCCACTGTATGAATGGAAGTCAGCTGTGCCCCTGAGCTTCATCTCACTGTTGTCCCCACCCCTGTCCTCAGGAAATTCCAGCTGACTAGGGAAGAGAATGCCAGTGTATAGTTTGCAGCAGGAGGAACTCAAAACATCAGTGACAGTGCCCCAAAATGCTTCAGTTTCCATGTTCTCTTTTTCATTTTTTAGGTCCTATTTTACTTCCTTACCTAATACTTATTATATTGGAGGTATGATGTAAATTGGAGTAATACTGACAGACCTTCTTCTTTGATAGACTAAGCAGTGTTGCTAGAAACAAATCATTGCATAACTAAATCATGATCCACCATGCACATAGCCCACCAACCAATGGAGAAGACCAGCAGAACAGATAGTAGGCTATCTCTTCCAGCCTCAAGCCCCAATGCTGTCATTCCTAAGTTGAGACGTTGAAGTCTCTTTGCCTCCCTGGTACAGAGTCTGTTTGCCTTGTCTTGTCCATGAACCAGAGTTCCTTCAAGTCCTTTCTTGCTCTGCAGTTCTACAAACCAGTGAGCCTGCTCTTGCCTCCATGCTTGTCCTAGGCTGATGCTGCTCTGCTACTACTCAGTTAAAGAAACATTGGCCCAAGAGGACAGGCACAAGGACAGGTGGAAGAAGAAAGCTGTCCTGCCACCAGGAGATGGCATGGTGGTATGGCAGTCCCAGGTCCGAGGTCAAGGAGTGGCTGGGGAACAGAGGGAGAACTTTGAGTATTTCTGCCTGGGTGCCCTCAGCTTGACATTCTCTCATTCAGCAGGGCCTCAGAGAGAGCAGACAGACACTGGAGATCCAGGCAAGAGTAGCTCAAGGTAAGGGTGTTCTGGAGTATACTTTGGGGGACAAAGGGCAGAAGAAGAAAGTTGTCCATGAGTTCACCAAGCCCTTCCTCTCTTAAGATGAGTCGTTCATTGAGTTTCACCATGGGGAGATGGCCATTGTGAATCAGCCATAGTCAACACTCTTTGAGGTAGAACTGATGAGCTTTGCAGATGCCTCAGCAGAATTACTCCTGGACAAGTGTTGGGTGTCAGAGTCACCAGAATTTGATGGCAGCCCCCAGTGGAACATAATAAATAGGTACATATCCTCAGCTAGCAGCTGAGAGGGCAGAACCAGAACCCCAGTCCTACCAGATATAGCCCAAGATTCTGTAAGAATATCTTACATGCTAAAGCAAGATCCCCAAAGTGAGGACCTGATATGGTTAGGCTGTGTCCCCACCCAAAATCTCATCTTGAATTATCCCCACAATCCCCACTTGTCAAGGGCAGGACCAAGGGTGGAGGTATGGGGGCAGTTTCCCCGGAGCTGTTCTCATGATAGTGACTCTCACGAGATCTGATGGTTTTATAAGTGTCTGACATGTCCCCTGCTTGCACTCACTCCATCCTGCCACCCTGTGAAGGAGGTGCCTGCTTCTCCTTTGCCTTCTGCCATGATTGTAAGTTCCCTGAGGCCTCCACAGCCATGCAGAACTGTGAGTCCATTAAACTTCTTTCCTTTATAAATTACCCAGTCTCGGGTATTTCTTTATAGCAGTGTGAGAAGGGACTAATACAGGACCAAATCTCCCAATAGATCTGAGTCTACCAAATGAGACTTCCATCACTTCTGTGCAGCTTCTCAGTTAGGAACTTCCCCTGACTTCTAACAGCCTCAAGCCCCCGCCCCAGTCCTACTCATACTTCCTCATGTATAAGAAAGGGTCAGCCAGTCCTCACCAGTCCTCAGATAACTACTGGAATGGACACAAGGTTTCTCCAGAGTGCCTCACTCCTTGTTTGTCTCCAAATTCTTCCTGACAGCTGCAAAAAAGAGAATAACCTGCTAGAGGTAGACTTTTACCCTGTCTCCCAGGGTGAGAAGGTCCAATACCCCTCATTGGTCAAGAAGCTGGTGAAGTTTGTGGCACCCAGATTCAAAGAGGTGAGATCTCAGAGAACCAGAAAGGGCTAAATAGGAACCTAGATTCCTGTTTATATGGCCAGTATGGGGACACTGAGCAAAGTCCCTGGGAGCCCCAGGTCCCAAGTACTTCCTAGGCTTTTATAAAGAGATCTGGATGACATGTCCTGCTTGGTGACTTGGCATCAACGTTTAGAAGTCAAGTCTGACAGATGGCAACTGGTAACCAGATTAAGCATGGAGGGTGGGGACAGGGCAGCCTAGCATGAGTGGGACCCTAGCTGATCCTCTGCTTAGACAGTTGTTGACTCTGTGACCTAAACAGGTCATGTCTCCTTTTTGAACCTTACCACCTTCTGCAAAATGGAGCATTAACGTTAAAGTCACTGAAGACTTTAGAAGTATTGATAAAGCATTCAATAAGTAGACTTCCTAAGAGGAAACGAAACTGACTCATTCCTGATCAACACCCTCAGAATAATCCCATTTCATGCCTAGATGCAGGAGGAAGCTCATTATCTTCCCCATCCCATTCTCACACTTTAACTCCTCCTCTCCTCCTCTTGTCTCCTTGAAGAAAGCCTGCCCTCTTACTAAAGCCAGTTGGGAAGAGGTCCCATAAGGCTTTTGTCTTAGGAAAAAGTGTGGGTGGGAAGGAATTGTTGTTGGGTCACTCTTGGTTTCCCAAGGCCCTGAGACAGGAACTTCTGTTCCTGCTAGAACAGAATGGCCTCTGCCCACACCGAGCTCGAGATGCTGTGGAAGCTTCCAGATCCTTGGCTCCTTAAGGTTTGTCCTGCTGTAATGCTCAGTCTTCTGCTATTCACCCACTTCCATTCTCAGGTGTATCTGTACCACCTGACCCAATCCTGCCTACACTTGGACCCTGACGGGCATTGTGGTGGCCAGTACTATCCAGAGGAGAGAGAAGGAGGTAAGAGCAGGCCCCTAGCCACGTGTCCAGTAGCAACACTGAGAAGTTCTGCCCCAAAGGTCCTGCCCATAAAGTTCTCTGCACTTTCCCCCTCCATCCCTCCAAACAAACTCACCCTTCTGAAAGCTGCCTCAAGTCCTGACCAGATGGCACCCTCCTGCAGAAGTCCCTGAACAGCAAGCACTCTGCATGTCATGCCTACATCTCAGCCTGAGGAACTCTTGAAGAGGCCTTTCCTCCAGAGCTGAGTGAGCTCTAAGAGCTCTTTGGCCAAAAACCCCTGGCTCTTGCCCATCACACTTGCCTAGTGTCTGGCTACGATAATTTTCAGGCATTTTATGAAACATTTAACAAGTCTGATTACCCTTCTAGGAGACAGTCCTAGAATAGAGGTCATATGAACATAGATCTTAGTCCTCCTGCCTCAGTGAGTCCCTCACCCCATACACACCTTGAACTCAGGCCAGAAGAGAGCACTTGACCATCTGGCTCTGGTTCCAGTGACTCCAGGACTTATATGCCCACAAGCCAAAAGAAGATCAAGATCTGAGTGGGAACTGTGGAAAGCATGTCATGCGAGCCCCTGCCGCCCTTGAAACTCTGCGTTCCTCCTCCTCAAAGAACAGTGCCTGAAGGTCCTGGCTGTGGCCCTGGCTGGCCATCTTGCTTCCTGGTCACGGTGGTGGCCACTGTGCTGGTCCTGTCCAAGATGACCTGTACATCATTCCATGAATGACACGTGACAACAGCTTCCCAGTGTAATAAGCACATTTAACCCAGCACTTGTCAGCCCCACTGTTCTGTTGGAAGTGTTCTATCTCACTGATCTTGCCTCTCCTAAAGCAAGGGACAACTCCTGGCACTCCGCTGCAGAGGCCCTTGAAGCCTGTTGGAATTTTAGTGAAATGAGATGCCTGGCTTAAGCCATGTTGCCTGGCTTCTCAAGTACCAGCGGACATATTACTAGCAAGGAAGAAGGCTAGCAGCAAGAATGGTTATTGCATCCTAGAGGCATTTAGTGGAGGAGAAAACTGCCCTGGTACCGCCATAGCCCTAAGTGCTGCCCAGAGTTCTGAGCTCTCGATGAGCACTTGGAACACGTCTGCCTGCAGCCTCCCTACACTTTTTTATGACTTGTCCTACTTGTCAAGCCCAGCTTGTCCCACTTCTCCACATGAGTCTTCCAGTGACATCTTTGTGACCATCTCCACCCCCTGGGTAAATGCTCCACGCTGGGAGTCCACAAAACACAGTCTGACTTAGAGATTCTCTGGCATGACTCTCTTCCCCACTGTGTACACTGACTGCCTTAGATGTAGGCCTCTTGTTTGGGGCCCTTCCTGGCCAGACCCTGAAGCAGCCTCTGAGGAGGGTGGTAAGAATGGTTCCCTAGAGCCCAGTTACAGAGTCTGCCTCCTTTCCAGATCATGCTGTAATGGACTGAGATCTCAACTCAGCCCACACTCTTTCCTGGCCTACATAGCCGTCTCAGAAGGGCAATGTTTCTCGCTGTTAAAGCGGGTGGTCCCTCTTGCTAACCTAGCTGAGCATCAGGTACTGGTTAGCTGTAAGGGCTGGGAAGTGGGGGGTGTACCCATTGGCCTTGGTGATGAAGACAGCCAGGTATCCAAGTCCCAGCCGGGACTCCTGCTGGGCCATAAAGGCTTCAATATGCTGGCTTCTCCCCATTGAGGACCTCAGGCCCCAGTTCATTATCAGGATTTTAGAAATACCAAGAACATCAAAAGAACAGAAAAGAGGCCCTTAAGGGACTCCTAATAAGATAGAATTTGCATGTCCTCATTGGACTAGAACCTGAACTGCTTTAAAAAGCAAAAGGCCCTTGGTACAATCTGATGGATGTGACTGTACAGAGAAGAGGAAACACCTCTGAGGGGAGTGAGAGGCCTTGGTAAGGAAGTTGCAATCTGGAGCCACCTGGGCAGGTCAGAGCTCTATAAGCAGGAGAAGCCAAGGGCATAACACACAGTAGTGCAGGTGTCAGCCAGGAATCAAGGCTATGACAGCTGGAGTCCCGGGCCAAGAACTACAGGGGGAAGGAGGAGAAATGCTTGTTCCCCCAACTCCTATCTCCTGCCATGGGGGTGGACTTCTACTAGCTATGACATTCCTACCATCTCTCTGCCTCTTCCCTCTCTCTTTTCTCTCTGCCCCACCCTGGGACACGGTGACTTCCCTGATGCTAGGGGGAGGGGATGGTGTGGGTTAAAAAAAAAAAAACAAGCTGCATAGCTCAGCCCCTTCCTCTCTCCCCTCACTCTCCTGGGGGTGCCTGCTTTCAGAGTCTGTGCAGCTCTTGTCTCCTTCTTACCATAACCCTACCTGGGCGGCAGCAGCCGCCGCCCACACCCTCCCCTACCCCCATGGCACTGCCTGCCACATCCAGGACCATTTCCGAATTCTGAGGCTCTGTTGTCGGAGTGTCCCCTCTAAGCTGCATCCTGCAACCCAGTCCTATTCCCAGAGAAGCCCAACATCCCCTCTGGATCTGCCTGTCTGCATTACCGTTTGGTTCAAAACCCAGTGCTGGTTACTGGGCCTCTCAGGACACCAGGGAGGCTGGGCTGGGGAGGACTGGTGGGCGAGCTGTCCCCTCCACATTCTGCCAATGCCTGGGACGTGAAACTCATTCCTGTTTCCATGAGACTCGTATCCTTAATGTCCCTTTTGACTTCAGCTAATTCTGAGTAAGTTTTTGACCCTCGCACCTAAATTTGGCCCAAGGCAGAAACAGCGGGGATTGGCTTCTCTGACGGCTGAGTCACTTGTCTTCCTGTCTTCTCCCTCATATTCCACTTCTTGTGGGCGTGAATTAAAGTAGAACCAGGCAGGCGACACTCTCCTGTTGGTGACCAGCGTTCCACAGTAAAATGGGGTGTGACAGCAGCTGGCAGAGCAGCAGCCTGCCCGGGGCTGTGGGCCACATCCCCCCTCCACCCCAACCAAGCAGCCTGCCCTGCCCTGGTGCCAGGCGCCAATCGGCTGAGCAAAATAGGCTGAACTCAGGCCCTGCGAGGCCAGGACGGCGCCTATCAAGAACTCCTGTTCCCTCCAGGGCAAGAAGAGGGAGGAGCGAGGCTTGCCCTGAGCGGAGGGGCTTCAAAACTGAGCCCTGGGCAAAATGGGGCAAGTTGGTCACCCTAGAGGGAGCTTAGGTTTAAGGAAAAGAATCTGGGACCTTCTAGCTTTGACTCCAGTCTAACATAACTCTCTGATTGTCCCTTTAGTAAAATAGAAATAATGTCAGTCTTGAAAGAATGTCATGAGGCTTTCATGAGGACACATGGAAATGGCAGACATTTGTCTTGCTGGAAGGTTCTCCCGTTTCCCCGCCCCTATTCCAGGTAGGTTGCTGTCCTCAGTACCTGAGGTTTTATGTGGAATCACCATTCTCCTTCCCATGATTGTAAGTCAGATTATAAGCAGCATTTGAGTAGATGGAAATGTGATTAGGTCTATGTCCCTCATCCCAACATTCTTTATGCCAGCTTTCATTCCCACAGCTCCAGCTGGAGACATGCACCCACAACTTAGCAGTGCCTTGGGGTGTCCTGTCTACTGCAGGACGTCTTCAGTGCCCATAACGTTCTTCTCCAAATTAGGTTTCTGAGCCTTTGCATATTACATCACAGGGCTGGGCCCATGGGACTGCAATCCGGGAGGATGGTCCTAGGCACAAAATTGAATCTTGAGATAGGTCTAAGGTTTGCCATCAGGATTAATGAAAATAAGTGTACACCGGGGCATGCTTCACTAACTGGAAGTCACTATTATTAAACTGAGAACCGGAAGGGCTAGATCTGGTCATAATTCTGTTAACCAACTGCATAACCTTTAAGCCGGAACCTTTACCTGTAAAATAAAGGAGTAGATGATTTCTCCAGTTCCTTCCCGCTCAAGTGTCCTATGACTGATTAAAATTATGTGTCCATTAAGCAGCTCAAAAGGAATTATGTCTGGCTATCTGAAAGCTCACAGCCAGCCAAGGAGGAAGTGCACTAAAGGCGAGGCCCGGCTGCTCCCCAGCCCAGCACTGCTCGCTGCTGTGTTAATTGACAATGATGGAACAAAGCACATTTTATGAGAGTTCATGAGTAGGAAGTCCAAGGAGCCTATACATTAGTCACGTCTGAAAATCTTCCTTGCTGGTCCTGCAAGCCAGAGGAGCTGGCCACTGCCACTTACCCAGATGAAGGACATGTCGATCCAGAAAAGGGAACAGTTAGCCAACATTGCTTTATTTGCTCAATCGTAATAACTTTTTCCAGGGAGAAAACCCACGTAAAACTATTGGAGACAGAATTCTGGATCAAGTCAGGCCACAACATAAAATTACATGGTAACAATGGTCTCCAATTTGAGAGAAGCAGCATAATGCACCCCAACCTCCCACAAAAACCTCAAACCCTTGACTCGGGAAAACAAGAAGGTCATCTTCCATCGGCCCTTTCCTCCACTGTCCTTCTCCCCAGACTCCCTTGTGCTTGTATAGGGCAGGGAGGGGTAAGGAAAACAGATCAGTTGCCCTGGGACGTCAATCACCCTGTTGAAACTGGTCTGAGTGCCAGACAGACAACCAACATGGCTCCTGCCTTCAGGGTCCACATCTTGAAGAGGGAGAGGAACACAGGAAATGGAAAAGCACCCTGGAATTAGATGCTGGGCCAGATGAACTGGAAGTAGTTCTTAAACTTGAGTGTGCCTCAGACTCCCCAGGGGCCTTGTTAAAACACAGATGGCTAGACCCTACCCCCAGGGAGCTAGATTCACTTGGCTTGGGGTAGGGCTGATATTTTGCATTTCTAACATGGTCCTAGGTGCTGCTGGTCCATAGACCATGTGCTGAGAACCAGTACTACAGACAGTGCTCCCCATACTTTAGTGTGCGTATGAACCGCCTGGGGGCCTGGGTAAAGTGTGAGCTCTGATTCAGCAGGTCTGGTACAGGGCTAGGGATCTGCATTTCTAACAAGCTCCCAGGTGATGCCAATGCTGCCGGTCTGTGGTCCCCATTCAGTAGCAAGGGTGCTCCATCTAGACCAGAGTGTGATGGAAGTTAGAGAATGAGATGAGTTTGGGTTGATATTGGCAGGGAAGGTTTAATGGTAGTTACTGGGACTTGGGCTGGTCCCAGAAGAATGAGCAGGATTTAAATAAATGAAAAGGCTGTATTCTGGGAGAGAAATTTGAACACAGACAGGGCGGTGGGATTGAGAATAGCAAGGGTAGAGGAGTGGGCACTGGCCATTGTCACAGATGAGTGACACACCGAGGCTTGGGGCCCTGCATGCAGGCGCCTTGCTCCATCTGCCTCCACACCACCCTCCCCAAGCAAGAAGCTGGTGCAGTTCCAGTAAGTCTACTGGCAGCCAGTCTTCATAATGGAAATAATTATTGTTCTGTGAGTCCCAGACTGACAGCTCCCAATCCTGCCTGCTCAGCCAACTGGGTTATTTTTTCACCTGGCTTGTTAGCAATGGTTTGTTGTTTGGCAGCATGAAGTGACTCCCACTTTTCCTTTCCAATCTCAAGTCAGAGAAACCTCAGTTCTCCGAGAGTTGAATGTCTCGAAGCCACACGGGGGTGGTTATGGATTTCTCAGCAGGCAGCCAGGGCAACCAGCATGTTCTATATGGTGCTCAGTCATGGGTTCCTCTCCTGATCCAGTGAGGGTCATGATCAGATAAAGGAGTAATAGCCCCTTCTTTCCCACACCCACCCCCCAACCTTGGAAGTCTTCCGTTTTCAGGTTTGTTCTAACAAAAGGCTCACCTTTTCTTCAATAGAGCTGCATGTGTAGGTGCAGAAACATGCGAGCTCATGTGCAAAAGGCCTGTCATTTGAAAATGAAACTACTATTTATTGGGTTTCCCAGCAGTGCTGTAACGAGGCACTACAAACTGAGTGGCTTATAACAACAGAAATTTATTTTCTCACAGTCCTGGAGACTGGGGAGTCCAAAATCAAGGTGTTGGCAAGGGCATGCTCCCTCTGAAGCCTCTAGGGCATGGACCTCACCCCTGGGGAGCTGGAAACCCTTCCTTGCTTTTTCCAGTTTCGGGTATCCCTGGGTGTTCCTTGGCTTGTGGCAGAACCACTCCAGTCTCCACCTCTGTCTTCACAAGCCGTTCTCCCCAGTGTCTGTGTCCAAATTTCCTTTTCCTTGTAAGGACATCAGTCACACAAGGTATCTGTAAGGACCCACCCTACTCCACCTGCATCTTCTTAACTAATTAGATCTGTCATAACTTTATTCCCAAATAAGGTCACATTCTGAGGTACTGGTAGTTAAAACTCCAACATATCTTTTTGGGGGGCCCAATTCAACTCCTAACAGGTAACTTTATAGTTTATAACATTATATTACCTGCTGAATTTGACCTTGTCTTTTAGAGGGGCTTTTTCCTCTAAACTAGAATAGTGACCTGTTTTAAATAAAATCGATGCTGAACTATAAATCAGGCCCTATTCTCAAGGTCAGCTGAGAAGGGCTCAAACACTTATCCACCCCATACCTATTAGCCAGTGATGAATCTGTAAGCTCTAAATAGCAAGTTACTGAGCAGATTATGATAATGAATTCACTTATCCATTCAACACATGTAAGGCCCTTCTGCATGCCAGGCCGTGGTGCTGAGGACACAACAGTAAACAAAAGAGACAAAAGTCCCTGCCCTCTCAGAGCTTGCCTTCCAGTGTGGGAAAGACAAAATAAATAAGAACATGGTTTGGGTAAACAGAAAAAAGATGAGTATGATGAGGATTTGCTATTTTAAAGAGAGCGGTCAGAGAAGGGCCAGGATAAGGCCATGGGGTAAGGCAGGGAGAAAACAGCACATGTAAGTTCCTCAACGTGAGTCTTTGTGAAGACTCTGCTTCTCACTGAGAGAAGCCATGGCACACTCCCAAACCTTCACTCTGGTGGCTGTGTTGAAACTGACTTTGGAGGTAAAACTGACAAAGCAGGATACTTGCAATACAGAGGGGCTGATGTCTTGGCTTTGGGTGGTAGCGGATGAGATGAAAATTGCTGGAATCGGGATCTGTTTCAAGGTAGGAACCCACAGTGTTTGCCGCTGGGGAGCACTGGGACCAAGTCTGGCATGAGAGGCGGGACAGTACAGCTGCCATTAGCTGTGCTGGGGGAGGACCAGGAACTCCGTTTGGGATGCTTTAAGTTTGCACAACATCAACTCTGTGATCTTAAAAAGAGCTTTCCAATAAAGTGGAAATAGGTTCAAATAACGTGGTGCCAAAAGAATACATTCAAAGGTATTCTTGGTACACAGGAGTCAAAATTGCCTAGAGGGAAAAGAGGCACTCAGGTGGTGAACACAACTAATAGTAATTTTTTCAAGAGGTGACTAGCAGCCATAGGAAAGGGAGCCTTTTAACCCTTTGTTTCTAGTTATTCTGGCTAAAAATGGTTAGCTGTAGAGAAAAATATGAAAGGCGGGGGGTCTTTTTATTTATACCTCCTGTACTGTTTTAATTTTTATTACCATAGCCATGTATTAATTGTATATCAAGAAATTGGCAAGCACTTTTCATGCGGCTTTAAAAATTATGTGTCAAAGCAGAATAAGGTAGACTTCTAAGTTCTTACACAAAAGAATGTTCAAAATAATAAGTGATTTAAGTTACCAAATAATATGTATACCATAATTCTGCGCATGTATCTGCATACCTGTGCCCATGTATTTGTACAAAGAAAAAGGCCTAGAAGGATAGACAGGAACTGCTTTTTACCTTATATTCTGCAGGTTTGCCACTTTTAAAAGGAGTACTTTTTGCATGTGTTTAAATTGAATGTGATGGCCTTCCCTCTACTTCGCTTCAGCCAGAGCTCAAGCCTCCACACACTCCAAACAAGAATTGTTGAATAGTTTAAAGAAATAGGCGGGCTGGGCACGGTAGCTCACGCCTGTAATCCCAGCACTTTGGAAGGACGAGGCAGGCAGATCATGAGGTCAGGAGTTTGAGACCAGCCTGACCAACGTGGTGAAACCCGGTATCTACTAAAAATACAAAAATGAGTTGGGCTTGGTGGCACATGCCTGTAATCCCAGCTACTCAGGAGGCTGAGGCAGGAGAATCCCTTGAAACCCAGGAGGTGGAGGTTGCAGTGAGCTGAGATCACGCCACTGCACTCTAGCCTGGGCAACAGAGCGAGACTCTGTCTCAAAAAAAAAAAATAAATAAGCAACAGAAAAAAAAACTGAAGCTTTTCAGTCCCCCTTGGCTCTTATTCCTGCTAGAAATAATGTGACTATGTAATAATAAATTCTACTTAAGGGTTGTATCAGTCTGTTTTCACACTGCTATAAGGAACTGCCCCAGTCTGGGTAATTTATAAAGGAAACAGGTTTAATTGACTCACAGTTCAGCATGGGTGGGAAGGCCACAGGAAACTTGCAATCACGGCAAAAGGGGAAGCAAGGCACCTTCCTCACAAGGCAGTAGGAAGAATGACAGAAGGAGGAACTTGCCAAACCCTTAAAAACCATCAGATCTCGTGAGAATTCACTCACTATCACGAGAACAGCATCGGGGAAACAGCTCCATGATTCAATTACCTCCACCTGGTCTCTCCCTTGACATGTGGGGATTATGGGGATTACAATTCAAGATGAGATTTTGGGTGGGGACACAGCCAAACCATACCAAGGGTTTTTTGTTGTTTCTTCAGTAGTAGGGCCAAAATGTTTTTTGAAGTTAAGCACGATTCTTATAAGAATATAGAATGAAAATGTGAAAAATGTTTAACTCATTAATAGAGAACCGCCAGAGTGGTAAAAGAGCATTAGAATAACTGAGTACTTATGGTCCATGAAGAAAGAATTTGGGAATAAAGTTGCTAGGTTAAATACAAAACTGGTTAACGTTCTTCAGGGCAATACAGCCAAAACTTTTGGGGTTATCTTTTCTACCAGAGTTCATTTGCATCTCCTCTGGACAAAAATCTGCAAGTTACATGCAACCTCCCAGAGTCTGGGCCCTAATCAAGAGTAAATAGAAAATCAAAGAAAGGCACACACATGGCTCCCCAAAAGAATTAAACAGTCGTTGAGTGGGTCTGCTGGTATGATATTGAAATGCCATGCAAATCCTTTTGCCTTATTTCTACGTATTGGATGCTTTTTTTGACATAAGATAAAAATTTACATATTGGCAGCTGTAGCTATCTAGTTTCCAAATGGAGTTTGCTCTTAAAATTAATCTGCTTTTCACCATCTTTTGTGTCTGTTTTTAATAAGAAAAATGACCACCAAGCAATGTGGGCATTGCAATAACATTCCATTATTTAAAAACATACTTTAATATTATTCTGATACTCACTTTGCTGGGTACTAAAACATTTTATGAGCAATTTAAATTTTTTATCAGGACCAAAAAAAAAAAAAAAAGTCCACATATCTGCTGTGAGTTGATGCCAACAGCAAAAACATTGATACTCATTGCAGTTTCAAATATTTATATGGATTTTGGACACAACCTTGCACAAGTTACTCAATTTCTTAGCTTCATCCTCTATGCAGAATAAGACCTTCACTAAACTGCTATATTTATGATTTTGTGATGACACATATAAACCTGGGATTACACTGTTGTGTTCCTATTTTACTTTTATATCCACATTCATAATTTCAGTTTCGGGGCTTCCTTACAGGTTGCTTGTTTTATAATTTGTCTTGCTACATGACGTGTTCTTTTACCTTCTTGTGATTTTAAAAAGGATAAACTATGTGTTTTAATTGTATCAATTGCTTTGTTTTTTCAAAAACAGAAATTAGACTATACTCATCCTTCTTTCCTTTCTGTAGAGTGAAATGGTGTCATTTGAAGTCCCTTAACATTAGATTTGAAATTTAACAAATCTCACTCTCCCTCTTTTACCAACTGCCATTTTAAATTATGGGCATTCTGTTCTCACAATTTACTGTCACATTTTTTAGAAACACAGAAAACACCAAAATGTGAATTTATATAGAAATTGTTAAAATTACACACCTAGCGTAAATAGCAAATATTCAGTCAACTTTTCACTATGCTCTTGAAAAGCTATTACACATTTGTCAACAATTTGTTTAGCGTAGCAATATGTTAACCTAAACACACTAAATTCAGCATCCATTTCAGGCAGAGATGAGCCGTCTGATTTACTCAACACATTTCTAGTTAGAGAGCATCACATGAGACAAAGTGGAATCGTGCCACATATTTGAATGAAGCCAGAAGCAGCACTTTTTAGGACTCTTAGATCTGTTTTGTGCATGAGCTGTTGTTTTTGAAACACTCTCATGTTTAGTCATTAATTTGCATAAAATTTTTTCTGTGTTGTAACTTTAAGTGCAGTTTGCATGCAAGACCAGTATACCCAAAAACCTTGAAAAAATGGTGCAGCAACTCTGAATATACCTTCAAACCATTGAACTGTACACTTTAAATGGGTAAACTATATGATATATGAATTATTCTCAATAAAACAAAAAACTAGCACAGTAAACATTCATGCTCAGCCTAGACAATGTGGTGAAACCCTATCTCTACAAAATATACAAAAATTAGCTGGGCATGATGGCGCATGCCTATAGTCCAAGCTACTTAGGAGGCTGAGGTGGGAGGATCACCTGAGCCCAGGGAGGTCAAGGCTGCAGTGAGCTGTCATCAAGCTACTGCAATCCAGCCTGGGCAACAGAGTGAGACCCTGTCTCAAAAAAGAAAAAAAAAAAACATGCTATTACGGTTTATATACAAACTGTTTACTTCTGAGTTAAATTTTTAAGGGGGCTAGACTTAGCAGAAAGGGAGACATTGAGACAAGAATCAGTGTAAACGCTGAGTGGTAGGTGGGGTTGAAATATATCATGCCCACGGAGAAAGATTTAAGACCTACAAAATGACAGGGAGCCAAGGCTACATTTAGGATTCAGAGGGTAGAGAAGCCAGTGAAAAACAGAAAACCAAAAAAGACAGAGCAAAAGAGCAAATGACAGAGCAAAAGAGCAAATAGATAATGACTAAAGACTAACTTGGATATTTGCTTTGCTATCATAAAGTAAAGGGTTTTATTCAGTTCCAAATTTCAGAAAAAAACAAATAGCTCCACACTTTTCAACTACTGTTAGGAGTAATATTCTAAACTCAAAAGTAACTTAAATCCATTTTATCCTATCTTACCTCACTTTGTGAAAGAGAAACCTTATAACAAACCACAATTCTTTTGTTTTTACAAAGGAAAAAATTAGAAAACATAAGTTACTTTTCTAGTAGAAAAAGGAAATAACGAATACTGAAATGTGGGAAATATGAACGGTAATGAATATATTTTAAGGTAAATATCCAAGGTATTATTTGGTCAATCAGAAACTTAGAATCTGAATAATGCCTAAAGTTTCAACGCTAAACAAGGTAAATGAATTATTCTTTATTTCCAGTAACAAGACAAGAGAAAATGAGTGCCTGGGTCTACAATCAGCAACTGCTGATTCTGAACTTAAGTGACTTTTTTTTTTTTTTTTCTGATAAAGGATGAAGAAATTTTGAATATAATCTAACAAACCACATGAAAATGTTAAACAATTTTTCCTTTTCATATTCCATCTGATCCCAGTCAAGAGTAAAGAGAATATGAGTCAAGAGAAAATAAAATTAAACATTAAGCATTTGCTTCTCTGGGTGGAATGGCTTAAAGCTTTCCCTCCCAAGGTCTAGGAAACTTGCTTTTTTAAAAAAAAAGTTTTCCTAAGGATTTTTCTACATTTTAATGCAATTTTAGAAATTTTTTTAGATTTCCAACAAATATAAGATAAACCGTTTTGGAAAGTATGAATAATTCCAGAAACAGAGACTTTGTTTCTAGGCCATGAAACTTAATTTCCTCTTAATATTCACTTACCTACAGCCCAAACTCTCCATGTATTTTGCCAGATATTACTTATGAGCTACAAACAGGGCAATTACTTTTTCTGCTTCATGAGATTACTCATACACACACAAAAAAAGCATTTTAAGGCTGCTGCTGCTGATTGCATCTGAGGCCACAGAAGTTACCCTGCGCCTTCCTCTGAAGACACAAAGCAAACTTTCCTTTCTCCTGATTCGGGTAATTTCCACCACAGAACAGCTTTTCCATAGCAGTAATAAACTAGTTTGGGAATCTTTGGAAGCCAAACAACAATAAAATACAAAAAATGTAGATGGCATATGGCTGGTGTTAGTCTGTTTTCCCTTCAAGTTCTTCCCGGTTTTTGATAGCTTCATAAGGGCCTAATTGTTGGCAGCACCAAAATAAAAGATTTTTAAACTTTATACTTACTAAGTGCTTTTTGTCATTTCCTCACCTCTCTATACATTCCTACCTGATCACCAAATTATTATGGAGATTTGAACAGTGCTTGGCTTATAGTATTCAGTAAATGTTGATAACAATTGTCATTATCCAGAGACAGAAAATATGTTCAATATTTAAATCTTAACCTATTTTTATCAATGATTACTTGAGAAAATCAAGTGTAATTCAAGCTGAACTCTTTCAAATTGTAGGACATGTTTATTTTTAAGCCTAAATGTTATGTCTCTCTAGCCTAGCTATATAAAATAGCCTTTCTCTCAAAGCCAATGCTAGGGCAAGAAAATGGACAGGGGACTAGATTAAAAGAACTGAGAGAAACATAAAAAAAAAAAATGCAATTGAAACCTGATTGGCTCTAGATCCAAATAAAAATCTACACACTTTGGAATATGGGCTGGATATGGCTGACATTACAGAATTATTCATTTTATTAGGTATTATAATGGTATTGTGGTTATAAAGGAGGATGTCCTCAATCTTAGAAAATGTAGGCTGAAATATTTAGGGGCGAAGTACTGTGACCTCGTCACCTTATTTTCAAATGTTTCAGCAAAAAGTTATATATTTAAATAGAAAAAGCAAATGTGGCACAATATTAACAACTCATGAATTTAACTGAAGAGTTTATTATACTTTCAACTTTTCTGCAGATGTAACATTTTTTAAATAAAAAGTTGAGAATAAAAAAATCACAAAAATAGTTTTGCTGAAGAAAATACCACACATTCCTTTTTACTATAATATTTAATATAATAATATACACTTATACATTGGTATTATTTACACTTCATTAAAAAAAACCCATTCAACCTGAAATTAACTACCTTAAACACACTATTTAACTTTCAGTGCTAATGTATTAATTTCTTAAATATAAATCAAAATAGCTCAATATCTAAATTACTGATAACTAGATGCAGATGTAAGGATCATGAATCAATACTTCCATTAAGTTAAAAATATCAATAATTTTTTGCAACATTTCTTCTTTGTTTTTCTTCTTTGTCTAGAATAGTCTGTTTTAAGCTCAAAGTAGCATCTTGAAATCCAGGATTTAAGTCTAAGACCTTCTTGAAATCTTCCAAAGCATCATCAAAATATCCTGTACCAGAACCCAAAAAATGGAAAAGAGAAAAGAAACCGAGTATTTCTATATATTATTCATGGAAAAGCTTTGATACATGTACTTTTGCTTTTATATTTATGAGCTTTCAGTCACTTCTAGTAAAGGAATCTTTTTATCTTAATAATATAGAGATGTGTATATCAAAGTAATTTTGTGTGCCCTTAGGGAATAATACACCTAAAATTAGCTATGGGTTTATTTATTGAGATTTAACAGGTAAATATTATCAATCATCTTAAAATTTTAATAAAACTGTATCACCTGTTTTACATAATTGCAGTAAAATTAAGAAACGGGAACTAATTTTCTTTTTGACACTTTAAATGAAGAAACACTACCTATGGTCCCTTTAATCCAAGAATCTAAACTTCACTTTCTATTGTCTTGTGTGTCTTCAAAGATTTTAACTCAGAAAAGTTTCACAGGTGAACATCTGAATTGCCCTCATTTCACAGCTGGGAATGCACAAGCACAAAGTAATGGGGTCACCCCTGCTCCTGCGCCCAGGTCCAATTCCCACCCCAGTGCTCTGCTGTGATCTATAACGCCTATCAAAAGCCTAAAATAAACTCAGGGACACTTCCTTTGTTCCAAGCTCTAAACCTAAATTTCACAGAACTTTAAAATTTGATTACCACGTTAGTTTTACAACATTTGAAAGCTCTGAAATAACAGAATACAGTCAATGACAAAACTCAAAAAGAAAAAAAATTCTTACCCAGCCTATACAGTATCAACCCTCTGTTGTAATATGGAACTTCAAAATTGGGTTGGACTTCTATGGCAGATGTGTAGTCATCCATGGCTTCATAAAAATCAACCCTGAAGTACTTGATTTGCCCCCTGTTGTTATATGCAGTAGCCAAATCCTCAGGGCTGCATTTGCTTTAAACAAAAAGTTCACATTAAAAACACCGTGTTACCAAATTCCTCTCATTTCCACTTTCATTCTCTTTTGGGTATTGTCAAACTTCACAGCCTATAACATGCAGCATCAACACTGAAAATCCAAGCTGAAGAAAAAACGTACAAATAAAGAGCTAAAATCAATTTTTGTTTAACCCTGTTATCTACTTTTGTAGGGTTATACCACTGCAATGTCAACCTGAAAAGCATACTAACTTTACAGTGTGTTCACTGCCAATTTGTTCTGCTGAATATAACATTAAAATGATTGTTCATTTTTCTAAGCACACACCAGCAGGGCAAAGAAGACAGAACAGATAAATACTAAGCAAAGAGGGAAAGCCAGCCCAAAGCCCGAGTTTGCTATGGATATGTCACAATGTGAATCAATTTCATTCTCAAATTTTTAAGTGATCTTAAAACAATAAGATTTGAAATCATTTTCCACCAATAAAAAACTAAAGTTAACGCTAAGTGAAAATTCAACATGCTACGATCCCCAGGAAGTTATCTCTGGGGACAGAGTTGCCCTCCCTCCAGCCTCAGCTGGCATCCTCCCCAATGCCAGGCTGGCTTCCTGCTAGGAGGGTGGGCTCCTTTAGACCCCCTCAGGGCTCCAGTCAATTTTGATGTCCTTTGTGCAGAACTGGCTCTGCACCTGAGGGAACTAGAGGTTGCCCAAAGAGCTTTAAATTAGCAGCCATTCCTGGGCTGTACAGCCAGGTAGCTCTGACCAGCCACCAGCTCAACAGGTCACAGCCCCTGGCTGCCTTGAACCTTTCTCTGCACAGGACAAATAGTCTGCACAGAGAACATTAGTGCCTCTGCTCTGAGTCAGGGATGATTCTGTTTCCCTTTCTTTTTTCCCAAAGCAATTCTCAAATTAGAACCAAACAGAGAATTCATCTGTCACTTCTTTGTAATACCCCGTAGTAAAAAGTATAGTCCTCCGAAAGTATCTGTGAAGGCAGTTAGTGTAAATAAAAGCTACTTCTCTTAATATCTTGATCCTTGAGATTTCAGACAGGGACTGTAACTACTGCTACCCTAAGAGGCACTCACAGCCCAAGGGCCTCCTTCAAACCAAGTTTGCTAACGATGGAGAGGAACTGTCGCAATTTTAGAAAACGTCTATTCTATGAGCTGTGATGGAGACTGGATGTAGGGATACTTCTGGATGCCACTAAGCACCCCCGTTAAAACCTAGATTACAAGACGGTACCACTCCCCTTCACCTATGTGTGACATGACACTAGTTGAACTGCTCCCAGTAGAGAGTTTAAAGAAAAAAGCAATCTCAGGATGCCAGTAAGGTTTTAGTCATTAAATCGAAGTTTCAAAATTATTGTTATAAGTTTTTAATACTAATTATATATTCGTAATATAGAGAATCATAAAATGTTAGACTTAGAATTAGATCTCATTAAATCAAATTCTAAAATCGTTTTCATGTGGAAATTTTGTTTCATATTTTAAAGAAATGGACTAACAGTTGAAGCCGAAATTTTCTGTAATATTAAAATTTTTGTAATGATAGTATTTATTATAATGGAATTCATTCAAGTTACCTAACCCAAATGTGAATTTTTAGGATTTGCTAACTTTCGCAAAAAAAAATATTTTTTATATATATATAAAGTGTGTGTATATATATTTTTTATATATAAAGTGTGTGTATATATATACACACACACTTTGGAAATTAGGTTTATGACTAAAGCTATACTTTAGATATTAAAAGAAAACGTCACAAACCATTCAGAATGAAAGGCATTCAAAAATTGCAAATATTGTTTCAAAATGATTTAGTGACCCAATACTTAGAAAATAAATGTAAGCTCCAAAAGATAAATTGAAGGGAAAAAGTTGAAATGACAGAATTCAGTTTCAATCCTTGAGTTCCTAGAATTTTATCAAAAGCTTATTTTACAGATGAAAAACTGAGGCTGAGACATTAGCCATGTGGCAGTGCCAAGACTGGAATTCAGGCATGATGAACTCCCTTCTACTGCGCTATGACAAACTGTCTTTCCTGTGCTGGTAAGGCATAGCTATTATATATGCTACAGACACTTGTGTTCTTAGGCTGAGAGGTGCAAAGAAGGAAGAATAACAAGACTAGACAGCAACAGCATACCTGATGCTGATAAATACTTTTTAAAATCTACTAGGTAAGTCTACTCTTAGAGCTTGAAACATGAATAGTTTCGCTTTCTATGTTTACTTATCTTTTTTATGGGGGAGGTGCACTGAGGAAAGTAGATGGTATCATCTTATTGCCTGTTCAGAAACTTCTATTATTATTCTTGTGTGTTATTGAAATGAGAAGGCAATTTTCTTTCTGGTTTAATTCCATGTAGCGTAACAAACAGGGTAAGAATCAAGTCCTTAGTGTTTAGTTAAGCCTCATACAAAAGACAAGCTGGCATCCTGTCCAGAAAACTCAAATCCACAACAGACAACTCACAACTATTCAAAAAGCTGTTCAACCAACCCCTCTGTTCTTTTCTCATCCTGATCCACTCCATACCATCAACAAGCCCAGTCGAGGCAAGACTTGGAGTAAAAACAAATGCTACACATCCAGGCACAAGCCGAAAAGATGCTTTGGGCAAGCAGACAGTAACAGGTGAAGCCGCTCACATCACAAAGAGAAAGTCAGCGAATCGTTATGTGCTTCCTGGTGAAAGTACACACACCCACCTAAAAAGTATTCTTGCCATGATATTGAATCTGAATTCAATTGGATCAAACCTCAAGGTTTAACCACCAATTCACAGCAATATGAGACAGATGACCACATTAAACGACAGAAGAGATTCAGTCAGCAAGTCCAAAACACGGAAATTCAAAGGACACAAGAATCGGTTTCCTCAACAAATAAAGAGGGGAAGGTGGAGAAGAGACTTAAAAAGACTTGATGTGTATCCTGACTTGAACTAACTGCGAAAAGGGAACCAAAGAACAAAACACCTTATTAGTCGATCAGAATGGTTCCAACACTGACGACTTGATATTAAGTAACTATGTGATGATGACATGGTGGTTCCTTCTGAAACATCCATGGATGAATACAATAGGTAAACTGATAATGCTTAAGCCAAGTGATAAACACCTAGACGTTCGTTATGCTCTCTTCCACATATTTAAACGTTTTTCACAAGTGAAAAACACCACCAAGAGCCTGCGCCGTGACACTGAGATGGGAGTCGCGGTACTGTGGCCCTACGCAGCCGTGACCCCTTCCCTTCCCAGGTCGCGGATTTCCCGCCAGCTAAAATCACGAGTGGAAAATTCCTATCTGTCCTAAGTCTCTGGGTGCGAATGAGGAACGTGGAAGGAGAGACGGCGGGGTGAGAGGCGGCGGCCCGCGCCCGAGGATCGCGCAGAGGGCTTGGTTCCCGGAAATCTCTCCGCACCGTCGCGGCAGCTGGCTCCTCACGGGTGGGCTTCTCCCCGCGTTCTCCGCCGCCCTCGTCCTAGGCCTCGCCTAGGCCTTTCTAGAAAGACGAACGTCCGCCCGCTCAGTCCTAGTGCTGGGTTATGACAAGCGCCGACCGTGAGCTCCAGAGGCAAAGATAGGAGCCCAAACAACCCCAACGTCGCCTCCACCCGGGGTCGCCGCGGCCCCAGGTCTCGCGATAGTTACCTCCCGGGACTCTCGTCGCTGGAGGCCGCGCAAGCGCACCGGCGAATGTAAGCGGAGTACAGTGCCTCGGCCTCCGCGTACTCTCCATTGTTGAAATGAGCCTGGGCGAGTGTTAGGGTTGCGTGGCTTTCTTGCCGCTGTCCTTCCATAGCAGCCAAGGCCTAGTTTTCGGTGTAGAATGGGGGTTGACCTCCGAGCGGTTAGAGGTGGCACCACAAAGCCACTTCCACACCCTGGAATCTACCTTGACAGCCAACCTTGGCGCTAGGTTTGTGCCTTATGGGGATCCGTCGTCTCGCGAGATAACGGTTCCGCTGCTGGCGGGGCGTTTGCAGTGGCCCTTGTGAACTATGTTTCTGCCGTTACCAGTGTTGGACCCGCCTTCCTCTTTTCCTAGAAAAGGCGCAGATGCGTGGTCGCAAACTGATTTCCAAGTCCGTTGTCTGATGCTGCGAGACACTATCCGTTTGTTACAGCGAATTGGGGGCCGATGACGCTGGAGGTGGAAGAAGCCGCGGTTCTGTTTCTTAATGGCGAATTAGCCTGCGGACGTCCTGTCATTCCCTTGCCTTTTAGCGTCCCAACTTAGCAAAACTCCGCGTTTAGGGTGTTCTGAGTAGGCTTTGTCTACCCTGAAACGCTTTGTGTCGACATTCCACCAGGTCTGTTCCACGGTCCAAACTTCTCTACCTTTTTTGACCCTCTAGAATTGTGTTACGATTAGTAGTATATTGTGTCGAGAGTCTGGGATCTTTGATGTTAGTTATATTCCCTGGCTGTTTATGCCAAAGGGAAATCCAAATAGTAATTTATTACGTACATTACGTATAATTCAAATTAAAATTTTGTAAGAACAGTTGCCAACCACGCTACCCTACATGCCTGCTGTGTATCTTCTCGGCGTCCCTCGATTCTGTTTTGCTTCCCAAAGTACTTGAGCCCTTTCCGTCATAAAAAGTAAAGATGAAAAATATATTTGGAGCATGATACTTACATGCGGAAGTCTTAACAGGACATAAATTGTGTGCTTTTGGCTGCTTTCATTAGATTTTTAATTTTTTCCTTTTACCACCACTGAAAAAAATACAAATACAGTGGATTAAGGTTAAATTAAAAAGCACTAGTAGAAATTAAAAGATTGCAAGACTACAAAAAAATAAACTGGCATTTCTGGTGTAAGCAAATGGACAGCTCAATAGAACAAAAGCCCAGAAACATACCTCAAATAGGCTGTATTTTGTAAAAGACATGTAACATATATGGGGAAAGGACAGATTATTCAAATGAGTGCTATTGGGAGGATTAGTTAACCATTTGGGGAAAAATACATTTAAGCATTTAAGCTCCCAATTGACATAATATTCATTCCAGGTGAATTAAAAGATTAAATAAATAAGATAAAAAGCTTTTTTTTTTCAGTTCCCATTTATTTTTGCCTCTTGGAGCAATGTCATCTTTTCAATATGAAAAAAACAAAACAAAAAACAAATCTGAAGTACAGGATAGAACAAAACCAAGTGTGTTGGGGGAAGCAACAGCAAAGGGAAGACAAGATGTTGCAAAAAAAAAAATGGAGGGGGGATTCCCCTCTCCTCTGGGGAATGACTCAAACACTGATGTGGCAGCGTACACTATTCTACATAAAGCCAGGGATGTTAATCCTTTTGGGGGATAAGAAAAAGTGGAGATGGCCAGGCTCTGTGGCTCATGCCTGTAATCCCAGCACTTTGGGAGGCCTAGGCGGGCAGATCACCTGAGGACAGGAGTTTGATAACAGCCTGGCCAACATGGCAAAACCCCGTCTCTACTAAAAATGCAAAAAATTAGCTGGGCGTGGTGGCGGGTGCCTGTAATCCCAGCTACTCATGAGGCTGAGGCACAAGAATCCCTTCTGGGTGGAAGTGGTTGGCAGTGAGCTAATTTTTGTATTTTTTGTGGTGATGGGTTTCCCCATGTTGTCCAGGCTGATCTCCAACTCCTGGGTTCAAGACATCTGCCCACCTCAGCCTCCCAAAGTGCTAGGACTACAGGCATGAGCCACCGCACCTGACTAGAAGTTTTGCTTTGTTCTGTTCAAGGAATAACAGGAATATTTATGTGTCTAAAAACCAGTGATCTAAGAGGAAAATAGCAGGATATGTAATGGAAATTGGGGATTTGGGAAGGGGGTTTCTAAATAGGAGTAAGATTCTTAACCTTTTTTGTGCTATGGCACCTTTACAAGTGTGGTGAAGCCTATGTCGTTTCAATGTTTTCAAGTGTTTTTAAAACATAGGATTACAAAGGAAAGGAATTATATTAAAAAACAGTTGGAATATTAACAGATTTATTAAAAAGTAAAACATTTATTAACATTAAATATCAAGAACAAATGGCAAACACAAAACTAGCAGAGGAAGAAAATAATAAAAGATCAAAACACAGATAAAACAAAAATGGAATCAACAAAACCAAAAGTTGGTTCTTAAAAAGATTAAAAAAGTTAATAAAACTTGAGCTAAATTGACTACGAAAAAGGAAAAGACTCAGATTACTAAAATCAGAAATGAAAATGGGAACATTACCATCAATTCTACAGAAATAAAGAGGATTATAAGAGAGTACTATGAACAATTGTATGCTGAAAAATGGGAGTAACTACATGAAATGAGCAAATGCCTAGAAACAAAAAACCTACGAAGATTGTATCATGAAGAAATAGAAAATATGAATAGACGTGTGTATTAGTCTGTTCTCACACTGCTAATAAAGACGTACCCAAGACTGGGTAATTTTTTTGTTTTTAAGAAAAAAGAGGTTTAATGGACTCACAGTTCCACGTGGATGGGGAGGCCTTATAATCATGGCAGAAGGCAAACAGCACGTCTTACATGGCAGCAGGCAAGAGAGAATGAGAGAACAGTGAAGGGGGAAATCCCTTATAAAACCATAAGATTTTGTGAGACTTAGTCACTACCATGAGAACAGTATGGGGGAAACTGCCCCCATGATTCAGTTTTTTCTCCCACCGGCTCCCTCCCACAACATGTGGGAATTATGGGAGCTACAATTCAAGATGAGATTTGGGTGAGGACACACACAAACCATATCAACCTGTAACTTGTAAGGAGATTCAATCAGTAATCTAAAAATAACCTCTTGACAAAGAAAAGCCCTGGACCTGATGGCTTCACTGATGAATTCTACTAAATGTTTAAGGAAGAACCAACACCAGTCCTTCTTAAGATTCCATTTAAAAAATGGTTATAACTAATGAATTCAGCAAGGTAGGAGGATATGAAATCAACATGCAAAAATCAGTTGCATTTTTATTCACTAACAATGAAGCTATCCAAAAATGAAATTAAGAAAACAATTCCAGCCAGGCACAGTGGCTCACACCTGTAATCCCAACATTTTTGGAGGCCAAGGTGGATGGATCACTTGAGGTCAGGAGTTCGAGACCAGCCTGGCCAACATGGCAAAACCCTGTATCTACGAAAAATACAAAATTTAGCCAGGTGTGGTGGCAGGCACCTGTAATCCCAGTTACTCAGGGGGTGAGGCAGGAGACTCACTTGAACCTGGGAAGTGGAGGTTGCAGGGAGCCAAGATTGTGCCTTGCACCACTGCACTCCAGCCTGGGCAACAGAGCAAGACTCTGTCTCAAAAAAAAAAAAAAGAAAGAAAAGAAAACAATTCCATCTACAGTAACATCAAAAAGAAAAAAATATTTAGGAATTAATCAAGAAAGTAAAAGATGTGTACAATTAAAACTATAAAACATTGCTAAAAGAAATTGAAGAAGACATAAATGGAAAGACATCTCATGTACATGGATTAGAAGACTTAATATTGTTTAGATGTTAATATTATATAAATCAATCTTCAGATTCTATGGAATCCTTATCAAAATCCCAATGATGTTTCTGCAGAAATAGAAAACTCCATCCTCAAATTCATATGGAATTACAAGGACTCCCAAATAGCCAAAACAATTTTGGAAAAAGAACAAAGTTTAAGGACTCACTTCCTGATTTCAAAACTTACTGCAAAGCTGCATTACCCAAAACAAGTGTGTTATTGGCATAAAGACAGTTTTTTAAACAAATGGTGCTAGGAAAATTGGATATCCACTACAAAAGAATGAAGCTGGTCTCTTACACCATATACAAAAATTAAAATAGATCATGACCTAAATATAAGAACTAAAATTACAAACTCTTAGGAAAAAACATATGGCAAAAGCTTAACAACACTGAATTTGGCAATGATTTTGTGAATATGACATCAATGGCACAGGCAACAAAAGAAAAAACTACACAAATTGGGCTTGACAAGAATTTAAAAACCTTTGTGCATGAAAAGACACTATCAGAGTAAAAAACAGAATATTTACAAGTCATGTATCTGATAAGGGATTAATACCCACACTATATAAAGAACTTCCAAAAACAACAATAAAGCAAAACAATCCAATGCAGAAATGGGCAAAGGATTTGAATAGACTTTTCTCTAAAGAAGATACACATATGGCCAATGAGAACATGAAAAAATGCTCAACGTCACTAATAATTAGGGAAATGCAAATTGAAACTACAATCAAATACCACTTCTCACCACTCCAGTAGGATGGAAACTATTAAGAAGAAATAAGTGTTGGTGAGGATGTGAAGAAACTGGAATCTTTATGCACTATTGGTGAGAATGTAAAATGGTGCAACCACATGGTGTGACAATTCTTCAAATACTAAGAATAACCATTTGATTCAGCAATTCCACTTCTAAGTATATACCCAAAATATCTGACAGCATGGTCTTAAAGAGATATTTACACATCCAGGTTCATAGCGGTATTGTTCACACTAGGTAAAATGTGGAAGCAATCCAAGTGTCTATCAACAGATGAGTGGATAAGCGAAATATGGTATACTCATACAATGGAATATTATTCAGTCTTAAAAAGAACAAATTCTGCCACGTGCTACAACATGGATGAAACTTGAGGACATTACATGAAGTGAATTAAGCCAGCCACAAAAAGACTGAATGATTCTATTTTTATGAGGTACCCAGAGTAGTCAAATTCATAGAGACAGAAAGTAGAATGTGGTTGCCAGGGACAGCTTTAAGGGGGATAGGGAGTTATTGTTCAATGAGCATACAGTTTCAGTTTTGCAAGATAAAGAATTCTGAAGATGGATGGTGGTGGTGGTGGTGGTGGTGGTGGTGGTGGTGGTGGTGGTGGTGGTGGAATATGAACAATATGAATGTACTTAATAAATATAGTTAATGCCACTTTAACTGTACACTTAAAAATGATTAAGATAGGCAAGGTGCAGGATCTCATGCCTGTAATGCCAGCACTTTGGGAAGCTGAGGTGGGAGGATTACTGTGCTAAGGAGTTTGAGGCTGCAGTGAGCTATGATTGTGCCACTGCACTCCAGCCTGGGTGACAGAGCTAGACCACGTCTTGTAAAAAATTTAAAAAAAATTTAAAAATGATTAAGATAGTAAATTTTGTGCTATGTCTATTTCATCACATAAAAAATATGGAAAAATCAAGTGGCAAGTGTGTTTTCTGTAAAAAGATCGTTGCAACAACATTGCATTGAAGTCATTATTACTGTATTTCTATTGATTTTGTTGCATCCACTGCAGTTTCTGCTTTATAAAGGTGGTTGCTACGAGCATAGATATTAGGTGTTATATCTATGTCTACAGATACTCTTACATGTTACATTGTCACTGTGAATAGCAGTTTTTAGCATTATCAAGTATTCTTGCTTGTAGTACTTAACTCACCACATCAACAAATTGAAGAAAAATCTCAACAGATGTAGAAAATGCAGTTAATAAAATTCAACTCCTTAGCAAACTAGGACAAGAAGACATACTTATTAAAACCTACCGACAAAATGTCTACAGAAAATATAATAAGCAATGATTTCTTAAAATATTGAAAAATTTCCTTTGAGATTAAGAATAAGACAAGAATGCCCAGTATCATCACTTTAATTATTCAGCATTGTATTGGGTATCCTAGCCAGTGCAATAAGATGATAAAAAGAAATGAAAGACATGACAATTGAGAAGTATTTTTTTTAAAAAAAGCAGTCATTAAACATGGTTATATAGTTGTATATGTAGAAAAGAAGTGCAAAGGACTGAGAGTGACAAAACATTTTTGAAGAAGAAAAACAAAGGAGGACTTGTACCAGATAGCAGGACCTATTTTAAAAACTATAATAACTGAGACATTCTGCTTTGGGCCAAAGAAAGACAAACAGATCAATGGAACAGAAAAAGAAATCAGAAATTGTTACCTACATATATGGACTTGATTTTTTTCCCATATAATTGCACATCAGTGTGGAAAGGGTGGACTTCAATCAGCTGGAGGTATCATTGACATTAATTTCTTTTAACTTTAGAGAAATCTCTTAGGAGCTGATATCTCTCAGCATAAAGACATAATACAGCAATTTATTCAGTCTCACCTCAGTTTCTTTTTCTTCTGTTAAATTCAACTAAAATAGAAATCTCTTATTAAAAAAATAAAACTACCAATGTTAAATGGGCAATTTGATGAGTTTTAACAAATGTGGAGTCATGTAATCATCACCAAAACCAAGATATGGAACATTTCTATCATCCCACAATGCTCCTTTGTATACCTTTGAAGTCAATCACCTACCCTTCTCCCTGATCTCAGGCACTACTTTCTATGATTTTGTCTTTTCTGGAATTTCATATAAATAACATCATACAGTATGCTGTCTTCTATATCTGGCTTCTTGCACGTAGCACAATGCTTTTAAGATTCATCTATGTTGTTACTTGTGTCAGTTCATTCCTTTTTATTGCTGAGTAGTATTTCATTGTGTGGATAGTCCACAATTTGTTTATACATTCACATATTAATGGATATTTGGTTTCTTTCCAGTTTCTGTCTACTATAAATAAAACTTACGTACATTTGCATTCAAGTCTTCCTGTAAATGTGTTTTGATTTCTTCTGGGTAAATTCCTAAGAGTGAGATTTCTGGGTTCTATGTTAAGTGTATATTTAAATTTAGAAGAAACTTCCAAACTTTTCCCAAGTGAGTGTACTGTTTTGCATTTCCATCAGCAATGTATGAGGGTTTCAGCTGTTCTATACCCTCACTATTTCTCTTGTCAATTTTAGCCATTGTAGTGTGTAGAAGCATCTCATTTTTTCTAAATCTCTCTCAATTTTACTACCTAGAAATTTAAACTGCCAAACAATAAATTAGCTAAATAATTTTGTTTTGTTTTTTTGTTTAGACAGAGTCTTGCTTTGTCACCCAGGCTGGAGTGTAGTGGCACAATCTTGGCTCACTGCAACCTCCGCCTCCCAGGTTCAAGCGATTCTCCCGCCTCAGCCTCCCAGGTAGCTGGGGCTACAGGAACCCGCCACCATGCCTGCCTAATTTTAGTATTTTTAGTAGAGACAGGGTTTCACCATATTGGCCAGGCTGGTCTCAAACTCCCGACCTTGTGATCCGCCTGCCTTGGCTTCCCAAAGCCTTTTAATGTCTACTTTCTTTTAATTTTAAAGAAATCTCTTAAGAACAAATACTGATTTTGGTACGAAGAAACCAATTATACAAATTCCTTCAGTGTCACTTCAGTTTTTTTCATCTCTTACATTCAACTAAAATATTTTATTTATAAAGATCAACTAATTTTACTTTCTCATCTATACCGTTATGTATTTTTGAAAATTTCTGCCATGAACATTTTTGCTTTTTTTTTTAATTATTATTATTTTTTGAGACGGAGTCTTGCTCTGTCGCCCAGGCTGGAGTGCAGTGGCACTATCTTGGCTCACTGCAAGCTCTGCCTCCCGGGTTCATGCCATTCTCCTGCCTCAGCCTCCCAAGTAGCTGGGACTACAGGCGTCCGCCACCACGCCCAGCTAATTTTTTGTATTTTTAGTAGAGACGGGGTTTCACCACGTTAGCCAGGATGGTCTCAATCTCCTGACGTCGTGATCCGCCCGCCTCAGCCTCCCAAAGTGCTGGGATTATAGGCGTGAGCCACTGCGCCTGGCCTGCTTTTTATATTCAAAAAAAAAAAAACCAGTAAATATTAGTTTCTTAGAGAAAAAAATGAATTGAGAAAATGGTCTTTAAAATAGACAGTAGAGGCAATACAATATTCCTATTTTCATTTTGAAACTGAGTAGAAAATCTTGGAGCTACATTATCAAATGTAGTATTCTTTATTTTCTCTTATAGGTCTAGTAGGACATAATTTCCTTCGTTCCTAAATGAGAACTCAGCATGACCATTAAGGAGTAGCTCACAGCAACCTCCAATATCTGACATTTGCCTAGTGCCTCTGGAAGGTTGTTGGGGTTTTTCCCCCCTTGTTTGGTAGCAAAAGTGGTATTGTATATCTATTGTACCTCCTGCTCCCTTTTCCCCTTCTCCACTCTGGAGCCCAATACCCTCCTAACCAACCCCCATCAGAATACTTAAATGAAGACACAGCAAACACCGTGTTCTCCGTAAGTTATAGATAAAGAAAACGTGGAATAAACACAAGTTATTTTTTTCTTCAATGTTTATTATTTTCGTATTTTTTCACTTAATACTACATAAAATCTAAGATCTCAGCTCTTGGAATACAGAAAAATAGTTTCAAAGTGTATTTTAGCAAAACAATTTATAATGAAATTAGCATTTGTGAATTAAGCATGTCAACATTACTGTGTTGCTTGTTAGGCACACTGCTTATTTGTACAGCTTTATCAGTCAGTTCCATCATTTCAATATTTTGGCCCACCACACCACTTTGAAACATGTAATGAAGGGCAAGTTTTATAATAAAAAAAACAACTTGGCATTACTCAACGGGAAGTCAGTACATGTTTTTTGCAAGGAGAACAACATAACTGTTTAATGATGCTGTCTTCAATATACTACCTAATTCTGTTTATGCAACTTCTCACCAGGTAATTGTTTTTTATGGTCAGTTTTGCTTTTCTTTGTCCCCCTAGTCAAGGGAGAGTTTGTTAGTGTTGTTATCTGGAAATTTCCTTCATGTCGAATAAAACCAACTAGATTGACTCATAATATAGGTGTTTTCTCTAGTACCATTTACACAGAAGACAAAGGTCCCCAAGACATTATGGCAGATCATTAAAACTTTCACAGATATAGATACCAAAGAGGCATAAGCTTTTACAAAAGTAAAAAAGATGTGCCTGTCTATATACATATGCGCGCACACACACACGCACACAAAATTAGGTCCACAAGGTATGAGAGGTTGTTTTTAGAGATACTGGTTTCTGGATCCAACTGAATGAGAAATATCAACTAGATATTGTTTAAATATCAACTAGATCCAGCAACTTAGGATCTACCTGGAATAATTCGTTGGTGGGAAAATTCTAGGGCTCAGGCAGCACAGAATTAGGGGGAAATGAGAAGCCTCCAAAAGAGAGTTTCCAAAGTTAGGTGAAGTCTGAGGAGTCAACAGGTGATTCTAGAACTAAAGCAAATGAAAGTGCAACCAACAAATCACAGTAAGGGGCTAGAGGCATGACAATCGAATGAATTCTCAGCTGATTCCTGAGACAGGAAAGGGAAAGAAGAGATACTCAAGCATTAGACCATGGACTAAGAATTGCAGCTCTGACCAAACTGTCCTGCAGGAACCTTTCAGACAGGCAGAACTAATAAGTGTGCCATCCCTACAACCCTGAACATTTCTCTTTCCTTGATGAAGCAGAGAATAGTCTCATCCCTAAAAACAGAAAGTCCTGTGGAAAGATGCAAGTTCAACAGGAGATGTACTGTCTTAGACAGACTTCTTTGTTAGGATGTGATTTTCTGATTTGGGGAAATTTCCCATTCTGGTATAGAACAAATGAGAAAGCTGGAATTCATTGTGTTACATTTAGGTAAGTAAGTTAGTAACCTAGGAGACTTATTAGGCAAAGTTAATAGAGCGTGTATGTGTGACCACAGATAGAAAGGAGCAAGAGATACCAAATATTCATGAAGCACTAAAAATATGAAAAGCCACAAAGATACCAAATATTCATGATACACTAAGTATGCATGAGACATATAAAGCCTTCAGTATGTGTGAGAAGTTGATTCAATTACCCACTGGTGACACTCATTCTGGCCTGTCCTTACCCAAGAAATACAATAAAATTCATGACTGCTCAGCAGACTAATAGGCAAGCTATTGCTGTGGTGAAGTGTACTTGCCCCTGACACCCTTCTATAGAGCAAGTGTACATCGTTGGCCTCAGGCACATTTCATCTGATTGAGTCATCTGGCTCAAGCGGCCACTCTGGTCCTTTTTGTAACCCGACTATTAGGGGAAAGCGTATGTGACAGAATGTGAGTCAGGACATAAAAACATTACAAAACCCAGGATTCAGGTGTTGCGGTCTTTCCACTCCACTGGCACGTTACACTAACAGTGTTAATCTATCATTGCTTTCTCCTTGTTCCTCACTGTGTATTGCAAATTGGTTCAATAAACCAATGTATTTTGAGAATTTTTATTTGGTTTATAAGGCTTTCTGTTCCATGACCTCTGGAATAGCTTGCGAGGCAGTCTATTTAGAGGCTACCATTGTACCAAGGTAATTTTCCACGAGGCGCATGAATAGAGACAGAGACCTCAAAGACTTCTGGTCTTCTCTTTTTATTTAGGCCAATGAGCCCACTCTCTATCCTAAGCTCATCTAGGCTCTAAATCTCTTCTCATAGCTCACTATTCCCAATCTGCAACATGCTGAACTTGTCTCTGTCTCTACAAGACAAAAACATATGAGATTGAGAAAGTGTATTGTAGCTGCAAAAACAAAGTTGCGTATCTCTATGTATTGCCTCTACTATATGTAAGCCAAACCTCAATAAAATAATCTTGATGAAATAGTGCAAAGGTCTGGTCTTTAGCCACAAAATGGGAATTCATGAGAAATAAACAGAGAACATTATTAGCTATGTAAAAGACATAAGAAATGATCCATTATGGATCACAACTGTTTATCTTTCAAATTAATAATAAATGAAAACAGACGCATATCAAGAAAAAATCACTCCCTCAACAATACTTGTGTAAATAAACGGTCCAACTTAGTGACAATGTTTCAACAGAAGCTATAACTACAAAATGGATATTTCTGTTTAAGTTATCTTCATTATAAATAGAGGCAAGTTTTCTGCACAATCATATGAAAGTGTAAATTCCAAATGCCATCTCTTAAATGAGACTAAAAGGACAGGTTTTAAAATAGAAGAATAGGGCTATTAGAAACAATTCAGATTGTAAAAAATGTCTTAAAATGCCATCGCCTCACTTCTGAAAATACAATAAAGAAGACATTCGACACTTATTTAATTAAATATGGCTATAGAGAAAGCTCATTTCATTATTACAATTGTTTAACTTCCTTGTAACATGGGTTATAAAAATTCTCTAAATTCAACTTTGCCCCACTCCCATGCTTCCCCCACTCCCTACTCCCTTCAAGATTTTTTAATGAATTCAGTTACCTTGACACTGTGAGAAAAAAATTTATTTGGAATATTTCCATGGTATCATGTAACCAAAAACAAGATAAACAAAAGAGAGAGGGTGAGAGAAAACATGGTTGATTTTCATACATTTATATGAAAATCGGCCTTATTATTTCACAGTTGTATTGCCATAAAAATTATTTTATTAACATATATTTTGTGCAAAAATTCAACTATAAATAATGAGGCTGATTTTCATACAAAACTCACAGAAATAAACCTTATTACATATACAGCATATAGCCATGTATATATGCTACATATATTTTACAGTTATATACAGTTTATCATTCCTTTATCCCACTGGACTATGGCATAAGGGGCAGAAGCTGTAGTGGCTTATTTCCTGAGCAAGGACACCGTGTTTGCATACACTGCACATCCAGAATTGATACTCAGTGATTGGGCTTCCTGTGGCAACGCATGTTGGCAGTTTCCCTTCTCCACTGTAAAACGGGGAGAAACAATTCATTATACTTTAAAACTTCTCATTAGTCTAACTTTATTTAATACACTTAAAAAAAACCTAAAGAATAAAACTTCTGAGATGAACATCAAATACTTTCATTTAAAAAAGTTATTTCAAGAAAAAACCTTTCTTACAATGACAAAATAAAGCATGAATACACTTGTAAAAATAAATAAAATAGGGTATAATGTTAATGTGAATTGCTTCAAAATTCAGTGCTTTAATTCCTACATTAAACATTGTACATCTAGAAATCCAAGCTTCTAATAAGATAGAATGGCATCCACTAATTAAAATTAGCCTACCCTTCCATAAGGCTGTCCAATTCAGGTTTTCTGTTATCTTTTGAAGTATGTTTGGTGAAGATTTCTAAAGCAAGGTCTTCATACTGCTGTTTCTGTTCTGAACTGAGGGTCTCTAAAGATTTAAGTTTAATGAAAGCTTTTGAACAAGTCCCAAAGGCTCTGCTGGCGCATGCGCAGAGTGCTAGCAGAGAGTAGATCTCCACAGGAGGGATGATGTCTTCATAGTCTTTCAGGTGAAGAGCTAAGAAAAACAGGGCAATTGGGGTTTTTTAAAATAATTATTATGATATCATGAACATGCAAAAGAAGAATCTAAGTTAAGGTGATTTCATTGAACTTGCATGAACGAACTGAAAGCAAACAGTGTTGAGAGATGGGAGCACCAAGAGGAGGAACTAGGCTACATGATATCCAAGGTTCTGTGAAGCTGGCTAACAGCTCATCCTATGAAAAGAACCACCACCAAATGCTGCACATGGCTGTGCCAGCTCAGAAATACACACACACACACAAAATTTTGGTGTCAAAACATCCACATTTTCTTCAATTTATGTTAGAAATTTCTGTGGCACTTCATAAAAAGCAAATGAGTATTATACTATGTTAGTCATAAACTGCAAGATAATACCATGTTTCCTTTTGTTAAAAAAAAAGCAAAACAATATAAGCAAAACAGTATAAAATAATATGTTCTTTTCTCTGTGTTTCTTTGGACAGATTATTGCTTTTGTATTACTGCTTTTGTCATTTGTCTCACTGAAACAATAGGATTTTGTGAAAAAGTGAAAATGAGTCTCCAAGTTGTCAGTTGAGACAATTCAAGTTACAACATCTTATTTGCAATTATACTGGAGATGAAAAAATCTTTCTTTAAAATGCACTGTATTCTTGGGCCTGTTGGGGGTGGGGGGCTAGGGGAGGGATAGCATTAGGAGAAATACCTAATGTAGATGACGGTTGATGGGTGCAGCAAACCACCATGGCACATGTATACCTATGTAACAAGCCTGCACGTTCTGTACATGTACCCCAGAACTTAAAGTATAATAAAAAAAGCAGACTTAATATTAGATTTAATATTAAGATTTAATATTAGATTTATAACCAATTTGTATCTTTTTCTTCTCTAGACCTTGGAATCTTAAAAATACTTTGTTATAGTATATCAAAAACTTCATAAAACCAGTTTAAACAATATATTCATGTGTTTTACAATCAGAATCCTATAAACTGGTTCTGGGGTCAAGTATTTACAACAAAGTGTAGTAGAAAAAATGTATATAAAATGTAATCACTCAGTTACAATAAACAATATCCTCTAATTTCATATCCAAAGCATGATAGGTTCAAGGGTAATAATTTACAGGTCATACATTGTTTCAGATCGTCTTACCACTGACAAAAAAAAAAAAAATGAGGCATATAGAGATCTTCACCTAGTAGGTGAAGCATCTCAAGTTAAAGATCTAATTGTTCTTTTAAGTCTAGAAATGGTGTATAAATTGAATATGATACAGCTATTTTAAACAGTGTATAATTTATGTCACATATTAGTTAAAACTAAATGAAGGTCAGTTATAAAATAAACATAAAAATAATTTTTATATATAACTAATAACCAATTAGAAAAAAAATTTACAACCTCATTAATGACAACAAAACTAGGAATAAACTGAAAAATAAACCTTTAGAGCCAGCAAGAAGAAAACTACAAATCTTTAGAAACACAGATACATAAGTGATTTCTAAAATAGATGTTTCTGACAAATATCACATGTTCTCACTCATATGTGAGATCTAAAAAAGTTGACCTCGTGGAGCGTGCAGTGAGCTGAGATTATGCCACTGCACTCTAGCCAGGGCAACAGAGCGAGACTCCATCTAAAAAAAAAAAAAAAAAAAAAGTTGGCCTTGGCTGGCAAGATGGACGAATAGGAACAGCTCTGGTCTGCAGCTCCCAGCAAGATTGACGCAGAAGGTGGGTGATTTCCGCATTTCCAACTGAGGTACCAGGTTCATCTCATTGGGACTAGTTGGACAGTGGGTGCAGCCCAAGGAGGATGAGCCAAAGCAGGGTGGGGCGTCACCTCACCTGGGAAATGCAAGGGGATGGGGAAATCCCTCTCCTAGCCAAGGGAAGCCATTAGGGACTGTACCGTGCACTCCGGCCCAGATACTGCACTTTTAACACAGTCTTCACAACCTGCAGACCAGGAGATTCCTTTCGCTGCCCACGCCACCGGGGCCCTGGGTTTCCAGCACAAAACTGGGCGGCCGTTTGAGCTGACACCAAGCTAGCTGCAGGAGTTTTTCTTCATACCCCAGTGGCGCCTGGAACACCAGCAAGACAGAACCATTCACTCCCCTGGAAAGGGGGCTGAAGCCAGGGAGCCAAGGGGTCTGGCTCAGCAGGTCCCACCCCCATGGAGCCCAGTAAGCTCAAGATCCACTGGCTTGAAAGTCTCATGGTTAGCACAGCAGTTTGAGCTAACCTGGGATGCTTGAGCTTGGTGGGGGAAGAGGCATCCACCATTGCTGAGGCTTGAGTAGGCGGTTTCACCCTCACAGTGTAAACAAAGCCGCTGGGAAGTTGAAACTGGGCGGAGCCCACCCCAGCTCAGCAAGGCCCCTGCAGCCAGACTACCTCCTCTCTGGGCAGGACACCTCTGAAAAAAAGCCAGCAGCCCCAGTCAGGGACTTATAGATAAAACTTCCACCTCCCTGGGACAAAGCACCTGGGGAAAGGGGTGGTTATGGGCGCAGCTCCAACAGACTTAAACGTCCCTACCTGGCAGCTCTGAAGACAGCAGCGGATCAACCAGCACAGTGTTCAAGCTCTGATAAGGGACAGACTGCCTCCTCAAGTGTGTCCCTGACCCCCATGTATCCTGACTAGGAAACACCTCCCAGTGGGTCCCTGGGACCCATGTAGGGGCCGACAGAGACCACATACAGGACAGCATTGGCTGGCATCTGGCAGGTGCCCCTCTGGGACAAAGCTTCCAAAGGAACAGGCAGCAACCTTTGCTGCTCTGCAGCCTCCACTGGTGATACCCAGGCAAACGGTCTGGAGCGGACCTCCAGCAAACTCCAGCAGACCTGCTGGAGAGGGGCCTGACTGTTAGAAGGAAAACTAACAAACAGAAAGGAATAGTATCAACACCAACAAAAAGGATGTCCACTCAGAGACCCCATCCGAAGGTCACCGACTTCAAAGACCAAAGGTAGACAAATCCATGAAGATGGGGAGAAACCAGAGCAAAAAGGCTGAAAATTCCAAAAACCAAAACACCTCTTCTCCTACAAAGGATCACAACTCCTCACCAGCAAGGGAACAAAACTGGATGGAGAATGAATTTGATTAACTGACAGAAGCAGGCTTCAGAAGGTGGGTAATAACAAACTCCTCCAAGGTAAAGGAGCATGTTCTAACCTAATGCAAGGAAGCTAAGAACCTTGAAAAAAGGTTAGACGAATTGCTAACTAGAATAACCAGTTTAGAGAAGAACATAAATGACCTGATGGAGCTGAAAAACACAGCACAAGAACTTCGTGAAGCATACACAAGTATCAATAGCCAAACTGATCATGCAGAAGAAAGGATATCAGACATTGAAGATCAACTCAATGAAATAAAGCAAGAAAACAAGATTAGAGAAAAAAGAGTGAAAAGAAATGAACAAAGCCTCCAAGAAGTATGGGACTATGTGAAAAGGCCAAATCTACGTTTGATTGGTGTACCTGAAAGTGATGGGGAGAATGGAACCAAGTTGGAAAACACTCTTCAGGATATTATCCAGGAAAATCCCCAACCTAGCAAGGCAGGCCAACATTCAAATTCAGGAAATACACAGAACACCATAAAGATACTCCTCGAGAACAGCAACACCAAGACACATATTGTCAGATTCACCAAGGTTGAAATGAAGGAAAAAATGTTAAGGGCAACCTGAGAGAAAGGTCGGGCTACCCACAAAGGGAAGCCCATCAGACTAACAGCAGATCTCTCGGCAGAAACCCTAAAAGCCAGAAGAGAGTGGGGGCCAATATTCAACATTCTTAAAGAAAAGAATTTTCAACCCAGAATTTCATATCCAACCAAACTAAGCTTCATAAGCAAAGGAGAAATAAAATCCTTTACAGACAAGGAAATGCTGAGATATTTTGTCACCATCAGGCCTCTCCTACAAGAGCTCCTGAAGGAAGCACTAAACATGGAAAGGAACAACCAGTACCAGCCACTGCAAAAACATACCAAATTGTAAAGAGCATCGAAGCTATGAAGAAACTGCATCAGCTAACAGACAGAATAACCAGCTAGCATCATAATGTCAGGATCAAATTCACACATAACAATATTAACCTTAAATGTAAATGGGCTAAATGCCCCAATTAAAAGACACAGACTGGCAAATTGGATAGTCAAGACCTATTGGTGTGCTGTATGCAGGAGACCCATCTCACGGGCAAAGACATACATAGGCTCAAAACAAAGGGATGGAGGAATATTTACCAAGGAAATGGAAAGCAATAATAAGAAAAAAAAGCAGGGGTTGCAATCCTAGTCTCTGAAAAAACAGACTTTAACTGACAAAAAGCAAAAGAGACAAAGAAGGGCATTACATAATGTTAAAGGGATCAATGCAACAAGAAGAGCTAACCATCGTAAATATATATGGACCCAATACAGGAACACCCAAATTCATAAAGTAAGTTCTTAGAAACCTACAAAGAGACTTAGACTCCCACACAATAATAGTGGGAGACTTCAACACCCCGTTGTCAATATTAGACAGATCAACAAGACAGAAAATTAACAAGGATATGCAGGACTTGAACTCAGCTGTGGACCAAGTGAACTTAATAGACATCTACGGAACTCTCCACCCCAAATCAACAGAATATACATTCTTCTCAGCACCACATGGCAGTTATTCTAAAACTGACCACATAATTGGAAGTAAAACACTCCTCAGCAAATGCAAAAGACAGAAATCATAACAAATGGTCTCTCAGACCACAGTGCAATCAAATTAGAACTCAGGATTAAGAAACTCATCAAGGCCAGGCGCAGTGGCTCACGCCTGTAATTCCAGCACTTTCGGAGGCCAAGGCGGGTGGGTCACGAGGTCAGGAGATTGAGACCATCCTGGCTAACATGGTAAAACCCCATCTCTACTAAAAATACAAAAAATTTAGCCAGGCATGGTGGCGGGCGCCTGTAGTCCCAGCTACTTGGGAGGCTGAGGCAGGAGAATGGTGTGAACCCAGGAGGCGGAGCTTGCAGTGAGCTGAGATTGCACCACTGCACTCCAACCTGGGTGACAGAGCAAGGCTCCATCTCAAAAAAAAAAAAAAAAAAGAAAAGAAAAAGAAAAAGAAAAAAAAAGAAACTCATCAACACCACATAACTACCTGGAAACTGAACAACCTTCTCCTGAATGACTACTGGGCAAATAACGAAATGAAGGCAGAAATAAAGATGTTCTTTGAAACCAATGAGAACAAAGACACAGTGCAGCAGAATTTCTGGAATGCATTTAAAGCAGTGTGTAGAGGAAAATTTATAGCACTAAATGCCCACATGGGAAAGCAGGAAAGATCTAAAATCAACACCCTAACATCACAATTAAAAGAACTAGAGAAGCAAGAGCAAACAAATTCAAAAGCTAGCAGAAGACAACAAATAACTAAGATCACAGCAGAACTGAAGGAGATAGAGACACAAAAAACCCTCCAAAAAATCAATGAATCCAGGAACTGGTTTTTTGAATACAACAACAAAATAGATAGACCACTAGACTATGAAAGAAGAAAAGAGAGAAGAATCAAATAGATGCAATAAAAAATGATAAAAGGGATATCACCACCAATCCCACAGAAATACAGACTACCACCAGAGAAGACTATCAACACCTCTATGCAAATAAACTAGAAAATCTAGAAGAAATGGATAAATTCCTGGACACATACACCCTCCCAAGACTAAACCAGGAAGAAGTCGAATCCCTGAACAGATCAATAACAAGTTCTGAAATTGAGCAGCAATTCATAGCCCACCAACCAAAAAAAGTCCAGGACCAGACGGATTCACAGCCAAATTCTACCAGAGGTATAAAGAGGAGCTGGTACTATTCCTTCTGAAACTATTCCAAACAACAGAAAAAGAGGGAATCCTCCCTAACTCATTTTATGAAGCCAGCATCATCCTGATACCAAAATGTGGCAGAGACACAACAACAACAAAAAATTTCAGGCCAATATCCCTGATGAACATCTATGAGAAAATCCTCAATAAAATACTGGCAAACCAAATCCAGCAGTGCATCAGAAAGCTTATCCACCATGATCAAGTTGGCTTCATCCCTGGGATGCAAGGCTGGTTCAACATACGCAAATCAATAAATATAATCCACCACATAAACAAAACCAGTGACATAAACCACATGATTATCTCAATAGATGCAGAAAAAGCCTTCAACAAAATTCAACAGCCTTCATACGAAAAACTCTCAACAAACTAGGCACTGATGGAACATATCTCAAAATAATAACAGCCATTTATGACAAACCCACAGCCAATATCATACTGAATGGGCATAACCTGGAAGCATTCCCTTTGAAAACCAGCACAAGACAAGGATGCCCTCTCCCACCACTCCTATTCAACACAGTATTGGAAGTTCTGGCCAAGACAATCAGGCAGGAGAAAGAAATAAAGGATATTCAATTAGGAAAAGAGGAAGTCAAATTGTCCCTGTTTGCAGATGACATGATTGTATATTTAGAAAACTCCATCATCTCAGCCCCAAATCTCCTTAAGCTGATAAGTAACTTCAGCAAAGTCTCAGGATACAAAATCAATGTGCAAAAATCACAAGCATTCCTATACACCAAAAACAGCCAAACAGAGAGCCAAATCGTGAGTGAACTCCCATTCACAATGGCTACAAAGAGAATAAAATACCTAGGAATACAACTTACAAGGGATGTGAAGGACCTCTTCAAGGAGAACTACAAACCACTGCTCAAGAAAATAAGAGAGGACACAAACAAATGCAAAAACATTCCATGCTCATGGATAGGAAGAACCAATATCATCAAAATGGCCATACTGCCCAAAGTAATTTATAGATTCAATGCTATCCCAATCAAGCTACCATTGACTTTCTTTACAGAATTAGAAAGAACTTTAAATTTCATATGGAACCAAAAAAGAGCCCGCATAGCCAACACAATCCTAAGCAAAAAGAACAAAGCTGGAAGCATCACACTAACTGACTACGAACTATACTACAAGGCTACAGCAACAAAAACGGCACGGTACTGGTACCAAAACAGATATATAGACCAATGGAACAGAATAGAGGCCTCAGAAACAACGCCAAACATCTACAACCATCTGATCTTTGAGAAACCTGACAAAAACAAGAAATGGGGAAAGGATTCCCTATTTAATAAATGATGTTGGCAAAACTGGCTAGCCATATGCAGAAAGCTGAAACTGAATCCCTTCCTTACACCTTATACAAAAATTAACTCAAGATGGATTAAAGACTTAAACGTAAGACCTAAAACCATAAAAACCCTAGAAGAAAACCTAGGCAATACCATTCAGGACATAGGCATGGGCAAAGACTTCATAACTAAAACACCAAAAGCAGTGGCAACAAAAGCCAAAATAGAAAAATGGGATCTGATTAAACTAAAGAGCTTCTGCACAGCAAAAGAAACTATCAACAGAGTGAACTGGCAACCTACAGAAAATTTTTGCAACCTACCCATCTGACAAAGGGCTAATATCCAGAATCTACAAAGAACTTAAACAAATTTACAAGAAAAAAACAAATAACTCCATCAAAAAGTGGGTGAAGGATATGAACAGAAACTTTTCAAAAGAAGACATTTTTGCATCCAACAAACATGAAGAAAAGCTCATCATCACTGGTCATTAGAGAAATGCAAATCAAAACCACAATGAGATACCATCTCACACCAGTTAGAATGGTGATCATTAAAAAGTCAGGAAACAACAGATGCTAGAGAGGACGTGGAGAAATAGGAATGCTTTTACACTGTTGGTGGGAGTGTAAATGAGTTCAACCATTGTGGAAGACAGTGTGGCGATTCCTCAAGGATCTAGAACTAGAAATACCATTTGACCCAGCAATCCCATTGCTGGGTATATACCCAAAGGATTATAAATCATTCTACTATAAAGACACATGCACATGTATGCTTACTGCAGCACTGTTCACAATAGCAAAGATTTGGAGCCAACCCAAATGCCCATCAATGATAGACTGGATAAAGAAAATGCAGCACATATACACCAGGGAATACTATGCAGCCATAAAAAAGGATGCATTCATGTCCTTTGGAGGGACGTGGATGAAGCTGGAAACCATCATTCTCAGCAAACTAACACAAGAACAGAAAACCAAACACCTCAGGTTCTCATTCATAAGTGGGAGTCGAACAATGAGAACACATGGACACAGGGGCAGGAGATCACACACCGGGGCCTGTAGGGGGTGGGGGGCTGGGGGAGGGATAGCATAAGGAGAAATACCTAATGTAGATGACGGGTTGATGGGTGCAGCAAACCACCAACGCATGTGTATACCTATGTAACAAACCTGCACATTCTGCACATGTACCCCAGAACTTAAAGTATAATTAAAAAAAAGTATAAATTTAGTTTCATGAATGTTGGGAACAGGCTCCACAAAATCTGGCCATAAACCAGCCCCAAAACTGGCCATAAACAAAATCTCAGCAGCACTGTGACAGGTTCATGATGGCCATAACACCCACGCTGGAAGGTTGTGGGTTTACTGGAATGAGGGCAAGGAACACCTGGCCCGCCCAGGGCAGAAAACTGCTTAAAGGAGTTCTTAAACCACAACCAGTAGCATGAGTGATCTGTGCCTTAAGGACATGCTCCTGCTGCAGATAACTAGCCAGACCCATCCCTTTATTTCAGCCCATTCCTTCATTTCTCATAAGGGATACTTTTAGTTAATCAAATATCTATAGAAACAAGGCTAATGACTGGCTTGCTGTTAATAAATACGTGGGTAAATCTCTGTTCAGGGCTCTCAGCTCTGAAGGTTGTGAGACCCCTGATTTCCCACTTCACACCTCTATATTTCTGTGTGTGTGTTTTTAATTCCTTTAGCACCGCTGAGTTAGGGTCTCCCCGACCGAGCTGGTCTCGGCAAGTGGCATCCACCGTGGGGGCTTGAATCCAGATCAAAGGGTCGCTGGAGCAACAGTTGGAGAACGTGGAACTAGCTGGAGGACACCTGAGTACTCTTAAAGCAATCCCCGTAGTGAGTAAGAAGGGGAGCTCGGAAGCATCAGGGTAACAATGGGAAAAGTGTGGGCTGTGGTTCGTTCCACCTTGGAACTTTTTCACACTGATGATGAGGAGGAAGGAGAGTATAACGAAGTAACAGAAGAGATTACAGAGCAGGTTTATTTGCCAGCTAAAGCTAAAGCGGTAAAGGAGAGAGGTTCATCCCTATCCTTCTGCACCCCCTCATTATTATTTTGAAGAAAATGACCCTCCAGATCTTTCTTTTCCAGAGGACACTGGATGAAAAGAGTTGCCCCAGTGACTGTTCGAACAGCACCTTGAGTGACTGCTCTTAGTTCTATTCAGGCAGGAATTCAGCAAGCTAGACGAGAGGGTGATTTACAGGCTTGACAGTTCCCTGTTAGAATACACCCCCCAGAACAACGGGGAAATATTACAGCTACATTTGAGCCTTTTCCTTTTAAATTGCTCAAAGAATTTAAACAAGCTATAAATCAGTATGGACCAGGTTCTCATTTTGTAATGGGACTGTTAAAGAATGTTGCTGTTTCCAGTCAGATGATTCCTACTGACTGGGATGCTCTTACTCAGGCTTGTCTAACTCCTGCTCAGTTCTTACAATTTAAAACTTGGTGGGCCCATGAAGCTTCCATTCAGGCTGCTTGCAACGCCCAGGCCCAGCCTCAAATTAATATAACTACAGGCCAACTTTTGGGGGTTGGCGGCTGGGCTGGTTTAGATGCACAAGTGGTCATGCAGGATGATGCCATAGAACAGCTTAGAGGAGTGTGCATTAGAGCTTGGGAAAAAATCCCTTTATGTGGAGAACAATACGCTTCCTTTAGTGCTATAAAACAGGGACCAAAAGAACCATATGTGGATTTTATAGCTTGGTTACAGGAGTCTCTTAAAAAGGTGATTGCAGGCCGGGTGCAGTGGCTCATGCCTGTAATCCCAGCACTTTGGGAGGCTGAGGGGGGTGGATCACAAGGTCAGGAGATCGAGACCATCCTGGCTAACATGGTGAAACCCCGTCTCTACTAAAAATACAAAAAATTCGCCGGGTGTGGTGGCGGGCGCCTGTAGTGCCAGCTAATCAGGAGGCTGAGGCAGGAGAATGGCGTGAACCCGGGAGGCGGAGCTTGCAGTGAGCCGAGATCGCGCCACTGCACTCCAGGCTGGGCGACAGAGTGAGATTTCATCTCAAAACAAAAAGGTGATTGCAGATTTGGCTGCTCAGGATATAGTGCTGCAGTTATTAGCTTTTGACAATGCTAATCCTGACTGCCAGGCTGCTCTGCGACCTATCAGAGGGAAAGCACATTTAGTTGATTTTATCAAGGCCTGTGATGTTATCGGAGGTAATCTGCATAAGGCTACTCTGCTAGCACGAGCAATGGCAGGACTAAGAGTGGATAAAGGAAATACTCCATTTCCTGGAGGGTGTTTTAACTGTGGGAAGCATGGTCATACTAAAAAAGAATGTAGAAAAAATCAGCAAGTCAGGCCACCAGATAGCTGAAAAAAGAAAACTGCTGAGCCTGAAATATGTCCAAAATGTAAAAAAGGACATTGGGCTAATCAGTGTCACTCTAAGTTTAATAAAGATGGGAACCTGATTTTGGGAAATGCAATGAGGGGCCCGTCCTGGGCCCCATTCCAAACTGGTGCATTTCCAGCTCAGGCCATTCCCTCACCCCTGTACAATGTCTGTTCCCCGCCACAGCCAGTAGTGCCGCAGTAGATTTATGCTGCACAAAACTGTGAGCCTTCTGCCTGGGGAACCCCCGCAAAGGGTCTGTGGACCCTTGCCAGTGGGGACAATAGGATTACTTTTAGGAAAGTCTAGTTTAAGTTTAAAAGGGGTATAAATACATACAGGAGTCATGGATTCAGAATACAATGGGGAAATTCAAATTGTTATATCTACTTCTGTTCCCTAGAAAGAAGCCAGGAGAGTGCATAGCATAGCTCCTTATTCTGCCATATGTGGGAATGGGGAAAAGTGAAATTAAACCAACACAATATATTTGGAAGCACAAATAAACAAGGCAAAGCAGCTTACTGGGTAAATCAAATTACTGATAAACGTCCTACCTGTGAAGTAACTATTTAGGGGAAAAGAATTTAAAGGTTTGGTAGATACAGGAGCGGACATTTCAATCATTTCTCTACAGCACTGGCCATCTGCGTGGCCAATTCAACCCACTCAACTTAACATAGTTGGAGTTGGTAAAGCCCCTGAAGTATATCAAAGTAGTTATATTTTGCATTGTGAAGGGCCCGATGGACAACCTGGGACTATTCAACCAATTATAACTTCTGTACCTATAAATTTATGGGGGAGAGATTTATTGCAACAATGGGGAGCACAAGTTCTAATTCCAGAACAATTATATAGCCCTCAAAGTCAACATATAATGCATGAAATGGGGTATATCCCTGGTATGGGACTAGAAAAAAATCTGCAAGCTTTGGAAGAACCGCTTCAAGTGGAAAGACAAAGTTCCCGCCAAAGATTAGGATATCATTTTTGATGGTGCTCATTGTTAAGCCTCTAGAACCTATACCTTTAAAATGGTTAACAGATAAGCCAATTTGGATAGAACAATGGCCACTAAGTAAAGAGAAACCGGAGGCTTTAGAGAAATTAGTTACTAAACAATTAGAAAATGGGCACATAGCTCCAACATTTTCCCCTTGGAATTCTCCAGTTTGCGTAATTAAGAAAAAATCAGGTAAATGGAGAATTTTAACTGACTTAAGAGCCATCAATTCAGTTATACAACCTATGGGAGCATTACAGCCAGGATTGCCTTCTCCTGCTATAATTCCAAAAAATTGGCCTTTAATAGTCATAGATTTAAAATACTGTTTCTTTACTATCCCCTTAGCTGAGCAAGACTGTGAACAGTTTGCATTTACAATTCCTGTGGTAAACAACCTGCAGCCTGCTAAGTGTTTTCATTGTTTTACAGATGGGTCTAGTCATGGTAAAGCTTCTTATTCTGGATCAAAAGGTTAAGTTTTCCAGACGCCCTATACTTCAGTTCAAAAAGCGAAGCTTGTAGCTGTAATTGAGGTAATGACTGCTTTTGATTTGCCTATTAATGTGATATCTGATTCTTCATACGTGGTTCATTCTACACAGTTAATTGAAAATGCTCAGTTATGATTTCATACAGATGAACAACTGATGACAAAAACAAAAAAGAGGGAGAGACAGGGATTATGGGACAGCCCATACACAATTGAATCTAGCATTATTAACTTTAAATTTTTTGAGCCTGCCCAAATGCCAGATGTTATCAGCAGCTGAACAGCATCTACAGAAACCAGCTGCAAAGACAGAAGCAGAACAACTAGTTTGGTGGAGAGATCTGATAACAAAAAGTTGGGAAATAGGTAAAATAATAACTTGGGGTAGAGGTTATGCTTGTGTTTCTCCAGGCCAAAATCAACAGCCGATTTGGATACCATCAAGACACCTGAAACCTTATCATGAGCCAGATGCCAAGGAAGAGATTCCGGGAGGATCTCGAGGACCCCCCCCACCCTGTTGCAGCCATTTCGAGACTGACACTGAGGAGGACCCCAGCTGTCGCAAGCAACACCCGTTGAACACAGTCAACTAACTGGGGACAGATCAAGAAGCTGTCACAGATGGCGGAAGAAAACCTGAGGAAAGTGGGACAACCAGTCACAATGAGTAATTTAATGGTAGCTATGATAGCTGTTATCACCACTGCTATGAGTATTCCTTCAGTAAGGGCTGACACAGGGAACAATTACACTTATTGGGCATATTTATCAATCTTGGCTGGCAATAATGCCTAGATGTAATCACTCTATGATGCTGTTACACAGCTTTCTGATCTCAGTATTTACCATAATAAATCTGCTCCTATAATTGAGGCATACCGCCCTCAAAAACCTATTTGTAAACAAAATTGAACCTGGCCAGAAAAAAATGAACGTACTTGTTTAGGAAGATTGCATTGCAGAACAGGCAGAGGTGCTGCACAATGATTCCTATGGAATCATTATTAATTGGTCCCCTAAGGGGATGTTTAGCTTGAATTGCACTTCTCAGTCTGTGTGCCATGCCATACTTATGTTCAGATGGTCTCAACAAAATGTTCAGGTGGTAGATATAATAAGAAGTACGGCAAGAGTTCCTATTATCTAGAACCATGGTGGTATAGTGGCACCTCAACCTCAAATGATATGGCCCGCTCTAGGAGCTAAACATTAAGGATTTGTGGAAACTATTAATAGCTCTTAACAAGATCAAAATTTGGGAAAGAATAAAAAAGCGTCTAGAAGGACACTCTACAAACTTGTTTTTGGATATAGCAAAATTAAAAGAACAAATATTCAAAGCATCCCAGGGACACCTGACCTTAATGCCAAGAACTGGAGTGCTTAAAGGAGCTGCAGACAGATTAGCAGCTAGTAATCCATTAAAATGGATAAAAACACTTGGAAGCCCTGTAATTTCAATGATGATTGTGCTTTTAATCTGTGTTGTTTGTCTTTCTATAGTCTGCAGATGTGGATCCTGACTCCTGCAAGAAGTAGCTCACCATGACAAAGCTGTCCTTGCCTTTATAGATTTGCAAATCAAAGAAGGGGGACATGTTGGGAACAGGCACCCCTCAAAATCTGGCCATAAACTGGCCCCAAAACTGGCCATAAACAAAATCTCAGCAGCACTGTGACAGGTTCATGATGGCCATAACACCCACTCTGGAAGGTTGTGGTTTACTGGAATGAGGGCAAGGAACACCTGGCCCGCCCAGGGCAGAAAACTGCTTAAAGGAGTTCTTAAACCACAACCAGTAGCATGAGCAATCTGTGCCTTAAGGACATGCTCCTGCTGCAGATAACTAGCCAGACCCATCCCTTTATTTCAGCCCATCCCTTCGTTTCCCATAAGGGATACTTTTAGTTAATCGAATATCTATAGAAACAAGGCTAATGACTGGCTTGCTGTTAATAAATACGTGGGTAAATCTCTGTTCGGGGCTCTCAGCTCTGAAGGTTGTGAGACCCCTGATTTCCCACTTCACACCTCTATATTTCTGTGTGTGTGTCTTTAATTCCTCTAGCGCCGCTTGGTTAGGGTCTCCCTGACTGAGCTGGTCTCGGCACATTAAGGTAGAATTTCAAATCTGTTAAGAAAGAATAAACCTAATATATGGTTTCAGGATAACTTAGATGTTATAATAAACATAATATTTAACAAACTTGAAGGAATTCCTAAGCATGATTCCTAAGAGAAAAATATGAAGTAAAAGACTGACAGACATGACTATATAAAAAAAACTATTAATATCATCATCACAGCTACCACTTATTGAGGGCTCACAATGTCCAGGCAGCATAATAAGTGAGTTTTCTTTTCATGAACTTCTCAATCATTACAATAACTCTATGAGGAAGATACTATTTTTTTTTTTTTTTGAGACGGAGTCTCGCTCTGTCACCCAGGCTGGAGTGCAGCGGTGCGATCTCGGCTCACTGCAAGCTCCGCCTCCCAGGTTCACACCATTCTCCTGCTTCAGCCTCCCAAGTAGCTGGGACTACAGGCACCTGCCACTACACCCAGCTGATTTTTTTGTATTTTTAGTAAAGACAGGGTTTCACCGTGTTAGCCGGGATGCTCTCGATCTCCTGACCTTGTGATCCACCCGCCTCAGCCTCCCAAAGTGCTGGGATTACAGGCATGAGCCACTGCACCCGGCTGAGGAAGATACTATTATCCTTTCTTTACACAAAGAGAAACTGAAGCTTAGAAAGGATCAAGTAACTATAACTTATAAATGCTAGGGAAAATCAATATATATGAAAGACGATTATTACATATGGTCTCTAAAGAGCTCTTATAAAAATAATTAAAAATAAAAATCATCACTATAGAATTCCAGAAATATTCAAATAAAAGAATTTCTCTAAAAGTTTTCTTTTAATATCATGCCATTGGAATACAGATTCATGATGTATTAGGATTAGAGTGTGATGTGCATATGGTGATGATGTGAGCAGCAAATGGATGATGTCACCAATATGACAGAGGAAGGGTGGGGTGTCATGACAGTGCTTGCCATGGCCAAGCTGAAAGACCAGTAATGATTTAGTCATTCATATGCTTTGGCTTACAACATAATTATCATAATTACACTCTCTGGAGTTCATATATCTAAATTCTAGAATATTGTTATTGTTAAGAAGAAATTGAGATCCTGATATTACATGTAAATAATCTTCTATCAATTACAGTATACAAATACCATGGAATATTAGGTAGAATGTTTATATAGATCTCTGTTTAAGAATGAGGAAAGAACTATAATATACTGCTGAGGGAAAAAACCATGCTCCTGCATGTAGAAACATCTAAAAGGAAGTTTACCCAAACCTTAGCAATGATTACCTCTGAGTTATAGGATTATTTTACAAATTGTTAGATTATTTTACTTTTTCTTCATATTTTTCTGTTTTGGTTGAAATTATTAGCTAAGTATCACTTTTATAAAACACAAGATAAATGCTATAGCAATGTATATGTAAAATATGGAAATATTTTAAAACGTGGTTTTCAAAAAGTACATAAAAGTATGCCATGTTATACTCCCGATATTGTAAAGAATAAAATTATCTGAATGTATGTATTAAATATATTTTATGTATTTAAATATATGTATTAAATATATTTAATAGATATATGTATATATATTTTTCTCCAAAAAATATGAACTTGGCTATGAAGTATTTAACTTTGAATGGCTAGCCATATGAATGCTATACACATTCTTTTTGCTTATCTCAAATTTCTGACATTTCTGTGAACTATGTGTTTTCTCTGTATTAAAAAAAACTTCAAAAATGGGAATGCATAAGACTCAAACATAGGAAAATAAATCCATAGGAAAAAATGTTATTGAAGGCCACATAAAGGCAAATTGAAGAAGCTAGCCCTTCATACTCAATTTATAATTTTCAGACATACTATACACATTAGGTGACATGCCCACCTGTCTTCAGTGCAGTGTCCACACATCCCTCATAGAGCTGCCTCTGTGCAAGTATAAAGAAGTGGTAAGCCTCTGCCCCTCTCCATGCATTATCTGTGAAACGATCTGTTGTAGACAGAACTTCTTCTTCCAGCAAACCAGCCAAGGCAGAAGTGGCCTACGAGTAAAGTCAGCCCACACTTTCCGTCAGCACAAACGCACACACAGTGTCAACTCCCAAATAACAACAGTCATTAAAGTATCTAAATGAGCAGATTTTATCATTACAAAACTATGATTACAGACTTTTTTTTTTAAGAGATGAGGTATTACTCTGTCACCCAAGCTGGAATGCAGCTGCGTGGTCATAGCTCACTGCAGTCTCAAACTCATGGACTCAAGTGATCCTCCCACCTAAGCCTCCCTAGTCACTGAGATCACTGGTGTGAGCACTGCACCCAAAACAGATTTAATTTTTTATTATAATTCATAGTTTGTTAAACTGGTATGAATAAATTTTAAAATATAACTAATTAGATTCTAAGTTAATCAGACATTCATTTACGCATTACAACAATATATCTAGGAAAGTTTTAAAACTCACTGATTAGAAAGGAAGATTTCCCAGGTAAGTAAAATTTTTTAACAAATAAGACATTAAAGCAAAGACTACAGATTAGTATTACAGAAAAACAATTTCAATATTTCTAGGTAGAAATTTCTGAATTTGAATACTAATTCTAAATCAGTCATTCTTTTTCTTCATATCATTTAAGGAAACAAATGCAGACATGCAAATTAAATGACCTATCCATAAAAGAAGTTTAATAGTTTCTTTTTTTTTTTTTCTTAAACACTTCCAATGATGTAATGTTATTTAACGTGCTACTTTACCTCTGAACTTTTTCCTTTAACTTTTCCTCGCTGGGCATTCTTCATCTGTTCATGGTATTGCTCTATAAGTAAGGCTGACAGTACATAGAGCTTCTTGACACGTAAAGGTTTACTTCCTTTCTTTGCCTCTTCATCTGCAATCTTAAACATTTTTCAAAATTGAGGGAAGTTACTTCTTATCTATATTTGTACAAATACAATCATTTCCAAAACTAACAAATTTGATTCCCTAAAAAAGGAGGAAAATCAGTAAGATGGAATATAAATATCACCTATTTAAGATAAATATTTTAAAACCTATCTTCTTTTCATTAGTACCTATTCGTATTTAGTTCTTTCCTTAGTATTTAGCCCTAGGAGTTGGAATTCAGATCACTCTTAGAAAATGAGAGGTGCTGTTAGATAACTAAATCAGAATAAAGAAAGTATTGATGAAATGCTGGTATTTTCCATAATACAGAGATTTTTAAAATAATGTTCCAAGTACACAAAGATATGATAGTGTTAACATGGTGCATCCTTCAGAAGCTGAAACTTATTTAAATGATTTTAAGAGATATTTTTCCTTTTTCATTAAATCAAATGGGAATAGAATAGAAGGTAAAATGTGTATACATTAATACTGTACTAATTATCTTCCCTCCAAATAAATATTATGTAAAGCGTAATATTTAAAACTTGTACATTTAAAAGAACTTAAAACTCTATTATCAACAAAATTTAATTCCCTGTTGTAGAAATTTGTACTTTGCAGTCTCAGTAATTTCTTTAACTCTTTGTTAACTCCAGTATTCAACATACAATTGTTTAGGTATTAGTAAGTTGCTAATATTAATAAACATCTTTGTTGGTAAAAGGCAATAATACTAAAATAATGTATACAGAAGCAATAAAACCAGAGTGGTTTTGCTGTAATAAATATTTGTTTCCAAAGAAAATGGAGAATATGCTCTTTCATATATTAAAATATTGTGACTGGAACAAATCAACTATTCACCAAGATTTTTACATTACCTTAAACATCAGTTTAGCTGCATCAAAAAAGTAATTGGCTTTCCGATAGAGTTCTATGGCATCAAGAGTTTTATTCTTTTCCAGTAAATGAGATGCATACCTAGCTAACAGAGATCCAATTTCTTTCATACTATGATTTTTAGCCAATTCAACAGCTTTGTTCCACTAGGAGAAAAATTACACCATTCAGTCACCCAAGTATTTACAGTCACATATATCATAAAATTCACACAAGAAAGCTTTAAGTTTATAGTAAAAACACTATTTCAAAATTAAAAACTGGTATGTTTTAAAAATAGCATTTAAAATCACAGCAACATAAGTCCTATAAGCATAAGTCAAAATGATTAAATGATCTCTAAGACTCTGATTTGCTTAAGAAATACATGTGAAAATGAAAGTTTCAAAGTTTATAATCATATTAATCTTGTAATTCTAATCTTACAAAACTTCAAGCAAGAAAGATACACTTGTTTATATGTTATAGTAAAACAAAATATGCAATTTCAGTTGTGAAAATGTCCTATCAGATTTGACATTTAAAAATTATTTTTATAAAGCAAAAGGGGTTTTAAAAAATAAGAAAAATATTAAAAGAATACATTAATAGTCAATAGTTTCTATAATAACGCTGTACTTTTAGTTTAATTTCAGCTCTTAAAAATATCAAATGTATGTTTTCTATAAAGGAAAAGGAAAACAGATTTGCCAAAATAAATATTGATAAAGTAACTCAATTCCTTCCTCAGGCAATGACCAACCATTAACTGGTCCTTCTTTGGAAACAAAACCCAACCCTAACAAAATGCAGAAAATTATGAAATTACTTCCAGACAAAAACTTGCCAGACTAAAAGCACAAGGTTTGTTCATGCTCCCATACTGAGCTGGTTATAAGTGGGTCACCCCTCATGGTAGCACTTTAAGAGGTAAGTGCAACTTTCTTCATCCTCAATTAAGAGAATACCCGCCTGGCTCCTTTCATAAAATTCACGTCAGGCTCTCCAACCCTTACATTGGCAATAATCTTTAAAAGATCACTAGGGTGACTTTAACCTTGCTTTGACTTAAAAATTCCTAAGACAATAAGCTGCACAGACAGAAAGTTTCAGTTCCTACTTGGTTGAGATGTACGCAGGTATCTACTGCTGCCTTTGGTTGACTACATTTCAAAAATGCAGTCACTGCTTGTTCACACATTCCAACTCTGACAAACATTTGTGCTATTTCCTGTACAAACAAAACAATACTATCAGATTTCACAGACCAAGGAAATTACTTATATTTTAATTTAACAAAACTCCGTAGGGACGTATGAGTATTAAATTTACTGGTAGTTACAGATTTTTCTTGTAAACAGACGCAAGGGCAGAGGGTACAAATGAGAATGGATGCTAAGGCATCACTTCTATAAATCCAGAGCTTCACTGGCTCAGGCTGTGGATCTGATTTTTAACGAGGCCCTGAAGACACTGCACTCCTTTCTTATCTCAGTTCAGTAGCTAGTATACAGAAATGTCAAGCTCCAAAACAAATCCCCCACCAGTGGGTGAAAAAAGCCTTTATATCAATTGGTGGTATACTCAGTGCTAATTATTAACTAGAGACTTAAGGGAAATCTCACATTCACAGAGCCCTCAAATACCTCTATAAAGAAATGTCCTAGAGAAGTCTGCCATTAATCAGTTCAGGAAGCTAGACCCAAAACAGAGCTCT